>NC_000010.11:1828181-1979696 GCF_000001405.40 Homo sapiens
CACTCTGGAAAATATTTTCACATGAAAATAAAGAAGTTAAACATGTACTTACAAAAAACCAGCAATTCAGCTCATGGGTATTTATGCAAAATAAAATTTTTAAAAGCTTATACAAAAACCTGTACATGAATGTTCATAGAAATTTTATTCATAATAGCCCCAAATTGGAACAAATAAATATACCTATCAACTGGTGAATGAATGGGTGAGAAAACTGTTATATTCCTACAGTGGACGGCCGGATGGTTCTTGGAGATTGAAGATGCAGGGAGGGACCTACTTCAAATGGTGGTAAGAAAACTTTGGGGGTGATAGGGAGGGTCTGTTTATTAATCATGATGCCCACTCCACGGGAGCACACACCTCTGAAAATCAATAGATTGTGACTTTAAATGAGAGCATTTTATTCTAAGTGAATGATACATCAACGAATTTTCTATTAAAAACATGTTCACAGAAATACATGTGCAAGAATCTTTGTAGCTTCATTATTCACACTCTAAATAAGGCCTTTTGCTTTTTCTGCTGCTCTATGATTAAAAAAATGTAGAAAAAATGAATATTTCTCAGGCATATTTCAGTTTGTTATGCTTTTCTTTTTGTAAAACCAACATGTTTAATTTAAAATATCTGGGAAATAAAATAATATACAAAAAATAATTAAGTGTAAGACTATTCTAATCACTATTAACTTTATGTGTGTCTTCTTCCAGTTTTACAAACATTATTTTTAACGTAATTTAGACTATTGCATTAGTTTGTCATTAATGTTATTAATAATAATTATTTATAAATATGTTTCCCGGTTGTTCACATCATGTACTTTAATAGACCCTTTGTTATGTCATTAAATTCATAACTGATTTAAAGTTAGCATAGAAATCTCCTTTTGAGCAAATGAAGGTTAGAGCAAAAGAAATGGATCTTTCCTGTATGAGATCACACATCTCATGGATTGGGCTTTCCAAACCTGGTCTTGGCTGATAAAAGGAAATTTGAGAAACAGTAGCTCAGACCTGCCTATTCTAAACAACTGTTGTGAAAAAGATTATTCAAAATATTCTTTTAGTGAAAATAATCCTGAGCTATATATGACATACATCTAAGTGTGTCTATACTAACTGGTACATTTCATTGTATAATCCCTGGACAATTAACATTTAATGAAAAGCTTTGAAATAAATAAATTTGTGCCATCTTAAATTAAATTGTGATGATTTGATTTCCACTGGAAATCTCATAAGAAAACAAGAAGACATTTCTTAGGAAACAAATGCACTATTAATTCAATAGAGAATAGAAAGTGATGTCTCTAGTTTACTATAAAAGATAAGACAATTTTTTCATATTTGGATAAAAAGCATTATAATTAGGGCACTTATTGGGGGCCAGGGACTTTAAGTGGAGTTATGTTACAATTTTGTTTAAACCATTAAAATAGTTATTTTTTTTCTTTAAACACATCACAAGAGTACAATGAATTAACTGAAAGTTGTGATTAATATGTAAAAATTGACTTTGCAATTGGTGATAAGAATTTGAAATCTAAAAAAACTGAAAATGTGTTAAAATTGATATGTATAGGTGTCAACAATTTTCCGGAAACTCTCTTGCTTTCCAAGAGGGTATTTTGAGCACTTGAGAGGAGCGATGGCTTCCTTTCATGACTGATGTGCTGTGCGTTACTATAATGTGCTCTGTTAGCATGGTAATTACAGCCCGCACAGGCAGGGTGCAGGATAATCACCACCTGTAAGTGTTTACAAGAGAAAAGACATGCTGCAAGAAATGGAACTGTATTACTTTAGACCTAACTATTAGCATTCTCTCACAATCATCTCATGGTCTTAGAAATACATGATACTTCTCATTTCCCTATCATTTTTAACGTCTGACACCAAAATTAGGATATTGAGAAGGTCACAGAGTACTGAATTCTGTAATGATCCTTCATTACTCAGTGTTCTCACTGATTTTTTCTTACCTTGGCTATTTTTTACTAGTTAATGTGGGATTTTTTTACCCGTTGAGTATTTCTTATCCCTGAATTATTCACCAAAGGTCCACATGACATTTTCTCAACTCGATGTTTCCTTCATAAACCCTCTTGCAGCTATAGTTTCCTCCTTTCCATTCTCAGAGTTGAGATTTCCATGGCTTCAAACATGGACTACTTGAATGGCAGATACAGTCCCTGATGAACATGTATTGGTGTAGAGATATAAGGGGTAAAAGTCTCCTCCAGGCTTCAAGAAGCTCACAAGTTAGTAGATACGGTGAGTAAATAAACACACATATGTGCACATGTGCACATGCATGCACACAAGTGCAATACACAACTCACACACATATGCACTCATGAACAGCTGCACATATACACACATACATATGCACATGCAAGTACAGTGTGATCTGCACCTTTTCAACCACCTAATCACCAGGCAAGGGATACAGAAGGCTGCCTCTGGTGTGAATAGAGGAGACCACATGCAAAGCATAGTCATAGTTACTTACACATGCTTGAAGTATTTGTAGTGTGTCACGGCCTTAGAAAAGGGTGCACACAGGTTGCGGGCCCTTGGCTGGCACTGTCTTTGCTCAACAACATGTGCGACTCTTCGATGAGCCAGAGGTTTAACCACTGGCTTCACCATGGGTGAAAAGTGGAGCTTTGGCTTTTCATAAGAGGCTGGATTGGGACACCTGGAATAAGAAAATTACTCACCATTTTCGGAGGGACAGAGGCCCTGGAAATGCCATCAATAGACCTCAGTGCTTATGAAATGGTGACACTGGACTGGTGGCAGCCAGCTTGCAGATATGGGCAGGGAGATCCCAAACCTAATGTCACCAGCCCAGTGGACAACACCATGGTGCAGAAACATGTGGATATCAAACTGATAGACCAGCAACCAGATAATCCACACCCAGCACCCCACCTGTCCTGCAGCTTCAGGAACCTCCTTAAATTCCACAGGAGTTTTGTTAAGAAAACAGGTTTCACTATGAAGGCATCTAAATACCTGAGGGTCCTCAAAACCAAAGCTTAGGCAAGAAGGAACTCGGCAGGAATGCAGGTGTGGGATTTAGAGAGATGCTCTTGCCATGGCTCACCTTGGAGGGGTGGCCTCTCACCTCCAGGCTAGGTTTGGAGAGATGATCTTGCCATGGCTCACCTTGGAGGGGCGACCTCTGACCTCCAGGCTGGGTAGGGGCCACGTGCAGGTAGGTTTCTTCTCATCCTGGCACGTCCCCCTGCTCCTGGCCCCAGCCACACACCCAGAATTCTTGACCTTAATGGCCTTCGTGATTTTTATAAGAAGTTTTTCTTTGTTGACTTCTATAAGAAGTTGTGATTATATATTTTTATTTTCTCACTCATTTGACTGCAAGTTCTTTGAAGACAGGTAAAATTCACTCCTGCCTTATCTCCACCCCGAGCGCAGTGTTCAGCAAACATTTGTCAAATTGTGCTAAAAAGGGAGGGGAGTTAAAATATTTAATAAGAACTGTGCAAACATTTTTCTGTTCATGTGTCAATAAAATTCCAAAGGATTGGATTTGAAAGATTCAACAGAGAAATAACCTGTTGAAATTGTTCTCACCACATACACACACACGCATGCACACACACACACACGGTAACTATGTGAGTAATGGTAATTAACTTGATCGTGGTGACTGTTTCACAAAGTATAGCAACGCATTGAGTAGTGTACCTTGAACGTATGCGATTTTTGTCAGGTATATTTCAAAAAAGTTGAAACAAAAGAAAGTTCTTAATCCTACCAGGAATGAAAGGCCTTTTACAGCTTAAAATACACAACACCTCAAAGAAAATCAAAAGATAAAAGCTGTAGGAATTTTACAGCTTTCCGTTTTATGGCAAGTAAATATCTTATGTGATAATCAAATTTTCACCTCTAAATGTAAAAGTTAGCAAGAAACATCATTAGCTAGCTCATCCAAATCATAAAATAACATATTTTTCTTTAAAGTTCAGTTGAGAATACCTGAAATTGGTACTCATATGTAATATTTGCCAGAAATTCAAGGAGAACACACACACAGATATTCCGCACAGAAATTTATTCAGGTGTTTATTAAATTTTTCTGTTGGTCAGACATCATAGAACTCCTTTTCTCATGGAGTTTCTATTTACTCTATGACAAAATAAGTAAAATATTAGCAAAATAGCCATTGTGTGAAGAAGGAGGCATGAGTACTCTTGAGAAAGAGAAAACAAGCAAGTGGGTAAGCAGGCCAGGCATGCAGGACCTGCTGTTTGCAGCAATATGGTCCTGGGAGGCCTTCCTAGAAAAGCCGGATTTCAGTGTTGTCCGGAAAATGGCAAGGAAGCGATCTAATGCAGAGATCTAGTGAGAGGCATTGTCAAGTAGAGGGATGGGGCAGTGCAAAGACCCTGGGGCAGGGACACTGTGGTGCTGGAGGGACCAGGTGCCAATGTGGTGAGAGCTGACTTCCGCAGGAGTGAGGTGGGGTCCCCTCTGCAGGGCTTGGCTGGCCAGTGGAATGTCAGGTCTTTCCAAACCTAGAGGGGGCCAAGTGTGTTTCAGAACTTGAACTTACCCAGACTTTCAGAAAGGTAATTAGAAATCAAAATTTTCTAACTAGAAATCATGTTCAGAAATACATTTAAAAGGCCAGGCCTGGTGGCTCACACCTGTAATCCCAGCACTTTGGAAGGCTGAGGCGGGCAGATCATTTGAGGTCAGGAGTTCAAGACCGGCCTGACCAACATTGTGAAACCCCATCTCTACTAAAATACAAAAATTATCCAGGCGTGGTGGTGGGTGTCTGTAATCCCAGCTACTTGGGAGGCTGAGGCAGCAGAATCACTTTTAAACCTGGGAGGTGGAGGTTGCGGTGAGCCGAGATGGTACCACTGCACTTCAGCCTGGGCGACAGAGTGAGACTCCCTCTCAAAAAAAAAAAAAAAAAAAAAAAAAAGGCTCACTTCTCTAATCCCAGCACTTTGGGAGGCTGAGGTGGGTGGATCACATGAGGTCAGGAGTTTGAGATCAGCCTGCCCAACATGGAGAAACCCCATCTCTACTAAAAATACAAAATTAGCCTGGCGTGATGGCGCATGCCTGTAATCCCGGTTACTTGGGAGGCTGAGGCAGAATTGCTTGAACGTGGGAGGCAGAGGTGGTGGTGAGCTGAGATCGCGCCGTTGCACTCTAGCCTGGGCAACAAGAAACTCCGTCTTAAAAAAAAAAAAAAAGCCCGGAAACCCTGTCTTAAAAAAAAAAAAAAACACGTAATTTTCTGCATATTACCATGAACACACAATCTCCCGCGGGGTCTGGGCATTCCCCTGTGATCGTTTATGGGTACAGTACAGCAGAGAAAAGGTGAAAAGAACAAAGGTGAGAGGCAGCTCTCATTTCAGACCAGAACACCTTCTGTTGTACTGGAAGTTTCAGCTTTCAACTCTGACTATTTGGTCTTGAGGAACTCAGAATTGCTGAAAGGGGATTGGGACCTTGGCCTTTTGTTTTGATTCTGAATAAGATGTGGTACAAGGAGAAGGGAAGGAAGACTGATGCTTTTAACACATCCCTGGTAGCTGTGTGGAGATGGTGACCAGAACAATCTAGAACCAGTTGTTAGCTGCACTCGATTATATGAGGCGCGATATGTGTCTTACTTTTTTTACATGTATTGTGTAACTGAGACACCATGCGATGGGTTTTAGTATGTCCAATTTGCTCAGTATCCATGCCTTAAAATGTTTAAGTTCATGTTCTCCATTAGCTCTTTTTCCTAGGTCTTTCCTTTGTAGCGTTTCTGTAAAGTAGACCTACAAACTGTATGGATGAAATTATTGATTGATTGATTGATTGATTGATTGAGACAGAGCTTCGCTTTTGTTGCCCAGGCTAGAGTGCAATGGCGCAATCCCGGCTCACCGCAACCTCTGCCTTCCAGATTCAAGTGGTTCTCCTGTCTCAGCCTCCCAAATAGCTGGGATGACAGGCACGCACCACCGTAACAGGCTAAGTTTGTATTTTTAGTAGAGACGGGGTTTCTCCATGTAGGTCAGGCTGGTCTCGAACTCCCGACCTCAGGTGATCTGCCCACTTCGGCCTCCCAAAGTGCTGGGGTTACAGGCATGAGCCACCAAGCCCGGCCGAAATATATTTTTTTACTTTTCTGTTTATCTTGCATTTTCTGGAAATTCCTTTTATTGTTTATATCACACCCTGGTGTGCTGCCATTCTATCATCTGCAAACTGTTAAGTCTGTTTTGAGCACGGACAATAATTGTTTCCACTGAGCTCTCATTGCAACAGCTGATAAAGAAGTGAGACCCATAGCTACGTGATAATATCTGGATGTCACAAATGCCTGAATCCTGGTTTCCTCTATCCACATTTAAACATGTCTTATACACATCACACTGCTACATCGTCTTTGGTGTCCTGAATAGAAATTAAATGACTTGATTCATGGTGGGTTTTCTCTTGTCTCTCATTTTCCTTGTTGTCAAGTTAATAATTTCGACATTTATCCTAAAATGCAACATGAGGGACCGACCTCATTTCTAGCCTAGGGAAGAAACACCCCTGATAAGTACATGTACATGTCTGTCAGGGTCTGGATTGTCACTGAGCCGAGGGAAGAGGGTGGTGCCTGGTGGGCTTCCCGCTGCCCGGGATGGGGCTGTCCGTGTGTTTGTTTGTTGACTTGAAGCCATATGACTGGAACTGCCTCCTTTTCTTTTCTATTTTTTCTTTTTTTTCTTTCTTTTTTCTTTTTTTAAACAATTCAGTGGGTTTCTGTGTACGCTGACTCTTGTGGCTGCACCAGTGATGGGCTGGAGGAGGCGTTCCGAGGGGCCAGAGCCTACCTTTGTTTACTCTGGGATCTGAAGCAGAAACGCATCCCTGGGGTGAATCCTTACTTCTCCAGAGGGGCTGTTCTTCGTGCACAGGATTCTGGCCAGCGGAGGACATGTGCTTGAAGCTGCTTTGGTCTCCTTCGTGAGGAAGAGGCAACCTGCGCACACCTGGGTGTAACATGCCCCTGCCTGGCTGCCTGGCATGGTGATCGGCCCCTGTTCCAGGGAACCTGCTCGCTTCTCCCCGTCTGTTCCTCTAGGACAGTTCTCCTGAGCCTAGGGCAGTGCCTGGCACACAGTGAGTCTTACTGACCTGCATGTCAAATGAACAAACGCTCAACAGTATTTCCGAGACCACCGTAACTTCAAAAATGCCAGAATCTCCCTTCGGTCTGGGGACCTTGTAATTGCAGAATCACCTTGGAAATGCGCACTGGATCTATTCAGCCCAGTTGGTCGGTCACAGTGTAACTGGAGTCGTTCCCTTGGCTCAGAGGGTGCTCTTGAAGCCATGCACAGCCAGGGCCCCGAGGAGGGAAGATCATTCTGTTTTTGTGTTTTTCTGATTTCTTTTTATAAAACTTTCCCCCAGTAATTACCATTTCAAAGAGAACGGGAGCATATTAACCAGATATATGCTCTACAGCAGGATCTCTGTCTTGAAAAGATGATAATTAAAAATAATAACAGAAGAGAGGTCACACCATCACTTATCTCAACATTTGTCTAGTTATTTCTGAATAATTTATCCAAGCTTGTATGATATTCAGGTATTTTGAAATAATATATAATTTTAAGTTGATTTTAATACCCTATAAGCCTGTTTTTTTCTGTAATTTAAACAGATAACATATTTTTAAAATGAAAACAAGTAACTGAACATAATTCCTTTTGAATGGCTACCTTTGTCATAAAATTCTTAGGTGAATTCCTCTTTTACTGAAATTCTTACTGGGCTGGAAAGCTGGAAAGCTGCCCCTAAGCTTTTGTGTCAGATAAATCCAGTGGCATCTCTTGACTTCTATTTTTCTATATACACATCTTTAAAAAATTAAATAATATTATCTGTAGTGTCTCTTACAGCTGGAAGATCTCATATGCTTTCCCTGCCATTTCTCTGTGTGGCACTATAGTTGCTATTACTAAGATACAAAGCAATTAGAATAGAAGCTGCTGGATATTGAAATATTGGTCAGCAGTTATATTATACTCAGGTGTGGGTTGTAGTTTTGAAAAATAATGTAAGATGCAATTGTACCCTCTAGGAACTCTTTTGATAAATAAGACAAAAATAAACGAAAGAACTAAAAGACAGAGATGGACAGTGTGAAACTGGATGTCAAAGACGTGGTGTGGAGAAGGGGAGTCAGGAGCAAGGGCTGGAGGAGAGTCAGGAGGTCCGAGGCTCCTGGGAGGCAGTGGCAGTGGAGACCCGAGCCTGGGTGAGGCCAGGGATCTGGGGCCTTCTCTAAACGCTGCTTAAATGGCTCAATACTGGACAGAGTGCTGTGGGTGGACGGGGGAGGAGGGCAAGGGAGGAGAACAACTTTGCGTCCCTCAGTCTGGGAGGACTCAGCAGAGCCTCGGTTACAGGTGATGGAAGAGGCTGACGAAGCAGACAGGATGTGGAGGTTACCTGGACCTGCCTGCCCAGGCTCACGGCAGAGGGAGGAGGCCATGCCAACCGAGCCCCAGAACTGGGCACCCATCCCGAGGCCCCACAGGGCAGGCTGGGGTGCGAGAAGCTCAGCTTCCCGCCTGCCGCCCCCTCTCCCACCTGCACCTCTGTCGTGGAACCAGCTGTCTCCTGAGGCTGTGGGACAAGGGCCAGGGACCTGAAGAGAGGAACTGGCCAATGGAGGTGCCCACGTCCATCCAACACCTGAGATGTGCTGGCCACGTGGCAGGGTTCTGTGCCATGAATTTTAGAGACCAGGAAATGAAGGTATAGAAAGATTTGATAACGTACTCTTCCCATCTAACTGACATTTTGTATCCCTTGACCAACATGTCCCCACCGCACAGCCCCAGCCCCTGGTGATAATCATTCCTTTCTCTACTTCTACAGGTTCAACATCTTCAGCCTCCACATACAAGTGAGTCTGTGCAGCATTCATCTTTCTGTCCTTGGCTTACTGCACAGAACACGATGTCCTCCAGGTTCAAGATCTATCGGACAACGTGATGACTTAGTGGGTAACTGTGATGGTTAATATTAAGTGTCAACTTGATTAGATTGAAGGATGCAAAGTATTGATCCTGGATGTGTCTGTGAGGGAGCTGCCAAAGGAGATTAACATTTGAGTCAGTGGACTGGGAGACGCAGACCCACCTTTAATTTGGGTGGGCACCATCTAATCAGCTGCCAGCATGGCTAGAATAAAGCAGGCAGGAGAAGGTGGAATGAACAGACTTGCGAGTCTCCAGCCTGCATCTTTCTCCTGTGCTGGATGCTTCCTGCTGTAGAACTTCAGACTCCAAGTTCTTTGGCTTTTGGACCTTGAATTTACATCAGTGGTTTACCAGGGGCTCTCGGGTCTTTGGCCACAGACTCTCGGCTGCACTGTCGGCTTCCCTAGTGCAGGAAAGGTTTTGGGACTTGGACTGATCCATCACTGGCCTCCTTGCTCCTCAACTTGCAGACAGACTATTGTGGGACTTCACCTAGTGATCCTGTGAGTCAACTCTTCTTAATAAGCTCCCTTCCATATATACATCTATCCTATTAGTTCTGTCCCTCTAGAGAACCCTAATACAATAACAATATAATATATGTTTGAAAATTGCTAAAAGAGTAATTTTAAGTGTTCTCACCATATAAGAATATGAGGTGACATATGTTAATTAGCTCAATTTAGTCATTTCACAAGGCAGACAAATTTCGAAACGTTGTACATGATGGATTGAATATAGACAATTTTTATGTGTCAGTTATAAAAATGAAAAACAAAGAACCTGGGAATTTCTCACCAGGGAAGGGTCTTTTAGAATCAACAAAGACTTTCAGATTCCTTCTCATGTCGCTCAGCATGGAAGATGTTTTTATATCTATATGAACACAAAAGGCCTGCAGTTGTTAATTACTTGTCGTATTAAAGCCCACAGGCTACACTGTAGAACTACAACTTAGAAATTAAAACAAAGATTTACAATTTTTTAAAAAAGTAAATAATGCTAATAGGGTTGCAAAACTATTAAACAGAAGGAAATTGTGAGTTTCTGATTGTGTTGATGAGTCCTTGCTTTTCTCACTGTAGGTACAAGAAATGCTCGAATGAGTGGGTTCCAACACACTCTGGTAAATACTGGCCGGCTATTATGTGATGGGTTGGACTATTTATTGTTATATGGTACACAGTAGGATATGGGGGTGGGGACGTTTAATAAAGGGCTTTGGGCTTCAGTATGAACCAAAGTGGATCCTCTAGGAGCTCCTGAAGCCATCATGGGTCTTCAGCGATGCTTCCTCCAGGAGCCAGATGGCTGCAGCCCAGGCTGAAAGGATCCAGGTGCTGCACACAAAGTTCTGATGGAATATTTCAGAGAGAGAAAAACCAATCAACAGGAAAAGGAGGGTTTGTGAAAATGATTTATCGTGTGGTTGACATGCAACATTCTTACAGTGACTTCCGTAAAGGATTTGGAATGGTATTATCAAACTCAATTGCAATGAAAATGATCAATATCAGTGAATTTTTATAGATCAATCCCACTTTTCACAATACTTGGTAAGATTTTGGTTAGTTTTGAAACAATGCCCAGTTCAAAGTCTGATGCACACCGAAGGCTGAGTGGTTCTAAGTATTGTACATTTCAGGCCTGTTTTCCCTTTTTTGAGGTTGGCATCTGAAGTACATAATGAAGAACATGAAGAATATGTTTATTATTCAGAGTACACTGGAAAAATGCCAGGAAAAATACTAGGAATTTCTAGTCCAGTATTCCTTTTCTGCATCCATGTATCAACCACAAGTACAAGATATATTTTAAATATGTATCATGTTCTTTTTGCCGCAGGTCTCATGATTTCCATCCTGAACCTGAGTGCAGAGTGCTGGGTTCCTGCTTGCCAGGGAGGGGAAATTGGAGAAGGCAGATATCAATTAATTTCCCAAAGATTGTAGGAGATGCTGATGGTATCAAGGAATTATCGTGAACACCTAAATTTACACCATCTATACATCTATGTATCTATATATCTGTGTATGTATGTATGTGTGTATGTACCTATGTATCGATCAATCATCCATTTATCTATCTCTATATCTAGATATGTCTACATATGTAGATATATCTATATAGATATCTATAGATACTGATACATTGATACATCTATAGATGCATAGCAGACATAGATATCTATATATCTATATTTAGATATGTAGGCATATCTAGATATATCTATATAGATATCTATAGATATTGATACATTGATACATCTATAGATACATAATGGATATTGATATCCATATATCTATATCTATTTATCTATATATCTATATCTATCTACATCTGGATTTAGATATATAGATACACAGATTTAGATTGGCAGATATACATCACAGTCTATCTGTAAAGTAGGTTTTGGTGCAAGGCTGAACATTAGGGAGCATTAGATCAGAGCACCTAATTGTTATAGGACAGAAAAGACAGAATAAAATAGATGGACTGGAACACTCAGGTGCAAAAGGAGCTGTTTCCCACCCTGCTTTCCCTCAAGCAATTCTGCACAAGCATGTCTTTATATACATCCTTTAAGACATTTAGGTTCTTGAGTTTTGCAGCTAGATCTCATATATGAGGATGCTTTTTGTATATTTCTCTTCAACTGCTTTTTAAAACCAATAATGATCATTTCAAAGACAAGGTTTGCATATAAACCAGATGGATGTGTTCATGTATATGAGGTATAGTACTAAATTTAGGGACTATTTTTAGCTTCTTAAAAATACTCTCATTAAAAATAAGATCATGACATGAGTCAACTCATCAAAAGGACACATTTTTCACTAGGAGTTTTTGCATTCCTGTTCTCTTCACACAAAGAACAGATAATCACAGGCTTATTAGCTGAAGAATGATCAGGGGAAGTTCATGTGTTGGATTACAAAATGTTTTGTGGTTAAAAAAGAGCTCTCGTGTTTCAAAAAGGTCTACAGATGTTCACAAAATTATAAGCTGGCCAACTGGAATCCAGAGTTAAACTGATGAACTGTTTCCTACTGATAATTTTATAAAAGAGATGAACTGATAGAGCAATGACTCCATTTAATATGAATGTTTAAGATGATTAAATGTCAAGGAGCGTCCTGTCGTCAATAAGTGAAGAACTTGGTACTTTAATATGTCTCTTTAATGCAGCTCTACAAAGTGAGGAGATGATGAAGTTGAGGTGACATATAATCACCAAGCATCAGACACATTTTATTTTCTCACATGGAAATCAGAACCCTTAGAAATATTTTCCTCAAGAAGACATGCATTTGTCCTGGAGCATGGAGACCTCTGGACTCTAATCTTAGCTTTTCAACCAGTGACCAAAATAAACCCAGGCAATTGTCCTTAAATATCTGTGACACAGTATTGTCAACAGTAAAATAAAATGTTTAATGAACATTTAAGATTGCTCTTCAACCTATCACGTCTTTCTTCTTTAAGGGCCAGCTACTCTTCCTTCAGGGAAGTGAGTGTTTGCTTTGGCCATCTGGCTTAAAAGGGAGCTACCATCATTTGGGAACCCCTTCACCATAGCCACAGATGGTAGTGTGAGGGTGGGGATTTGATCCAGGTGTGGTCTAATTCATTTTCTGGCCAGACATGGTGGCTCATGCCTGTAACCCCAGCACTTTGGGAGGTGGAGGCACGCAGATCACCTGAGGTTAGGAGTTCAAGAGTAGCCTGGCCAACATGGTGAAACCCTGTTTGTACTAAAAATACAATAACAACAAAAAAATTAGCTAGGCTTGGTGGTGCGTGCCTATAATTCCACCTACTAGGGAGACTGAGGCAGGAGAATTGCTTGAACCTGGGAGGTGGAGGCTGTAGTAAGCAGAGATTGCACCATTGCACTCCAGTCTGGGCAACAAGAGTGAAACTTCATCTCAAAAATAAAAAATGAAAGTAAAATAATAAATTCATTTTCTTAGATTTTCCCAAACTACAGGCGGGAAAAGAAAGATACTTTCTCTTATGGTCATGAGATTTTAACATTAAAAGGAATTTAAGTGTCCATCAAACAGGAAAGGTATCACGTTTTCCACAATGCACACTGTGCGCAGACAGCACGAACAAAGTCCTGCCATGCACTCCCTGGCGTGAACCTCAAAGCCACAACACTGAGCAAGAGAAGCCAGTTCGAGAGGATGCATACTGGGTATGTCCATTTATATAAAGCTGTTTTAAAGGCAACCACAATCCGTGCTGTTAGCCATAGGGTGGCTAGTTTCTGTTAGGGTCAGTGAGCAGAAGCAGCCACAGAAAGGGGCCTGGGGGCACTGGCTATGACCTGGGAGCTGATGATAGAGGTTCACTTTGTAAAGTCAACTTAGTGTGCACTTATGATTTTCACACGTTTGAATTTCTCTACTTTAAATAAGCTTTTCTAAAATAAGTAACTACTATATAGCCATTAAGAATACAGAAAGTCTACAGGTACTGGCATAAAACAATTTGCAAAATATGTGGATAAGTGGAAAGAATCAAGAAGGAGAGTGCTGAGAATGGAACACATCAACAAAAGGATCCCCACACATGCATACATATGTGCATACATATACATATACATGGGCACACACATGCACACACATGTGCACACACATCCACACAAGGACCCCACACATGCACACATGTGTGCACACACAGACATGAAACACATGCAAAGACCCACATACATGCACACATGTGAACACACACGTGCACACACATCCACACAAGGACCCCCACACATGCACACATGTGTGCATGCGCAGACATGAACACATATGCAAAGACCCACATACATGCACACACGTGCACACACATCCATACAAGGACCCCCACACATGCACATACAGACAGGCACACACATGCACACAAAGACCCACATATATGCACACAAGTGTGCACACACATGCTCACAAAGGAGATATACCTAATGTAAATAATGAGTTAATGGGTACAGCACACCAACACGGCACATGTATACATATGTAACAAACCTGCACGTTGTGCACATGTACCCTAGAACTTAAAGTATAATAAAAAAGACCCACATACATGCATACACCTGCAAAGACCCACATACATGCACATACATGTGCTCACATACACATGCATACACATGTGCACACATGGATACACATATGTACACACAGTGTGCACACAGGATACCTCTACAGTGGTACACAATATATTAAAAACTCCAGCTTCAGTGGGTTATGATGCTTATTTCCACTTTTGAAGTGAGTTCCCCTCGTATGTATTCCCTATTACAAAATAATATTTAAGGATAATACAATCCTGCTTTTATAAAAAGTAACAGTGATGCCAAACCAGGTATGAACAGATGAAAGCAATCATGCTAGAAAGACGTAAAGACACACGTTGAGATGTGGTTCCCAGAAACATGCCGGCCGAAGACCAGGAGCTACCCCTAAGGGGTCAAGAGGTCAGTTTTGCGTCCTCCCTCCTGGGCAGCTGACCGCTGCTGCTTGGGGCCTGGGGATGCTTAGTGCCCAGGGGTGTGGGGAGGGTGTTTATTGCCCAGGGGTGTGGGGAGGGCAAGCAAAGGCTTTAAAGTGAATGGCCTGGGTCCAGGTACCGTAATGGTGCTTTCAACCACAACTGAGTGTTTTAACTGTGAATAATGAACCTGAGGAAATTTCGATTACAAAAAATAAAATCTAGAGTGTACATTTTGAAGGGAGCTCAATTTTCAGAGAAATCGGCGGGCTTCAGATCTCTTATATATTTTCATCCAAATAGTTTAAAACTGGAATTTGAAATTCAGGACGATAATCTAAAGGCCACAAAGAAACTTTGAAAAATACATTTAATGGTTTTCATTAGACTCTACAATGTTTTGGTGGGAGCATAGCTTAGCAGTTAAAAAGCCCAACTGTTACAGCAATATATGAGAAACTGTAAGTACCAGAAGTCAAGCCCAAAAACCTTGTTAGTGATAGTATTTGGACTCAAACCCTGCTCTCCTGACTGTAATCTCTGAGTGTTTTCAGCTACATATCCAAGGCAAATTGGTTGCAATGCCATTTACTGGAACCTGTTCATTAGATCTTCAATTAACCATTGACTGGATGTGGGAGCTGGAACAGGTTTTGTCCTTTCTCCTGGGCCCCACCGTCTTCTTATTTGCAGAGTCGGGATAACAATAATGCCTACATCACAGGGTTGTGTTGCAATCTATGTGAATGGAACACACATAAACCCACTTGCACAGTACCTGGCATACCTCCTTTTATCTGTTGTTATGGAAAATAGCAGTAGTCAATGAGAAACTTGCATTAATGCCTGACACCTGAGTAAATAGCTGGGATACGAGCACACATATATGTGATTTCATAATTAAGTCAATTTAGCCTTGAGTGTATTATACCATTTAGACTGATACCATCTGGAGACTTTTCATCAGTCCATTTATACAAATTCCCACTGAATTCCTCTAAATATAAAATGCTTTCATCCCAGAAAAACTTGAAACTCACGAAGCACTAAAGGGAAGGTAATAGGACTCCATGGCCAAAAATGTCCGAGGTGGTTTATAAATCAAGAGAAACAATAAAATGGAACATCCATGAAGGCTTGAAGGAACAAATCATTGTTATAAATTCTCATAAGGGTATTTTAGGTTCTGTGGCAATGCCTCAAACAAGTTGAAATTTATTGGATTTGTTTTATGGGTTGAACAATCTCTCATTGTCACCTCAACTCTTTTTGATTTAGGTTAATGAAGATAAAAAGGTTGGAAATATCTGAGATTGAAAGACCCTGTTGGATGTATAACCAGGGAGTCGCAAGTTATTTAGCTTACTGTGCACCAACATAATTTAAAATATAGGAATGTTCGAGCACTTCTGTCTGATTTGAAAAGCTTGAAATGAATATCACAATAGTAACTTTTGTGTACAAGTGATTGTAAACATCATCTGGCAGATTCTTCTCGAATTAATTTACTATATAAAGCATGAAGAAAACTCCCAGGAACATGAATTTACTAATAACCCTCTGATATATTCAATATATTGTCAAGAATTTGGAGGTATCTACACAGATGTACCATGAAATTCTCTTTGCTTAAAATTAATCAGAAATTAAAATAACATCTTTCCTTATTTATATATGAAACCACTTTTATTTGGTTCAGAATACAGGTACCAGAGACAAGAAAGCAGGCAAATCGGGAAGACAGAATCTAAAAAAATTTCAGTATGTACCATGCCAAATTTTGATAAAATTATCTACCACAGTACTGAAGTGTCTTACCCATCCTTCATATTCCAGTGAGAAATCAAGAGGAAAATGCTTGATAAACAAAGTGGCATCCACGTGATGTAATAAACGGAAATAGGCATTAACATCATTGCTGTGAGCACATTTTGCTGTAGGTTACCTGTACTCCACCGGTTTGTTTCTGAATAACCAACTTAAAACAGTTGAAGAGTTAGGACTTGATCAAGGTAGGATGTGATTGTCGCCTTTTAACTGTAAAACAAGATTTCACGCATTTCAAATCCAATTAGTTCATTTGGTAAAATTGACCTTCTCAATAACCTTTTTTCAAATACAGGATGCTGGTCTCTGTTTGTCATTAGCAGAAACAGCTATGTCAAATGCTACTTTTAAACCTATGTTCTGATTCAAATTTAGTAGATCTAATAAAAAAATACCTTAGGCTTTGCAGCTGCATCCATTTGTACATGCAAATTCAGTAATTGCTTATATAAATTGGGTAAACTGTACGTGAAAACAAGCTGTTAAATGTTCAATTAATCAGTTTGCAAAAAAATCTCTCGATGTTCTTGCTACCAGCAAACTCTTCCCCAGATCATTCATATGAGCTGAAAACAATCTAATATTTCATCTGCACATGCACCAACGTTCCTTTATTTCCTGTGACTTGCCTCTGGTTCCCTCATTCACTCAGCACCATTCTCTATACACATCCTGAGTGTCAGCGCAGAGACTGTGGTATACAAGGCAGGTGCAAGTCCCATCCAACTCAACAACAGTGATGTGAATAAAATTACTTATCCTCTAGTTTTGGTTCTATGATCTTTTTTCCATGTGGCTCGAAAGGTACACAGAATGATATTATGAATATAATGCAATATTGAGATCCAGTTCTGACTCACCACAATTAGAATTTGTAGAAAATAACTTCTGTGTTTTGATGAATTCCTCCTGTGTGCAATTATGGGGTTCAGCAGGGTCTCACTCACGTCACCCTGTGTTCTGTGAGTCCACACTGTGCCTGTGTTTATCCTCTTTCTCATTCGCCTTGTGGTGGTCTCGAGTGGGGCTCCTCAGAGCCTGTGACTCCTTGGGGAAATGTGTTAAACTGTGGATTTCAACATGGGGGTCTGCGCTGGAGGTGGAGAATCAGAACATCTGACAAGCTCTAGGCAAGGCTGATGCTCTGGGTCACCGAGCTGCGTGGTTGGTGGCCAAGGTGGAGCAGAGGCTGCACTCTGTGTTTGCTCCACTGGCTTCTACTTCTAGATTGGTTTCCCCAAATCAGAGTCTCGTTAGAGCAAGAGAAAGGTGTTTTTAACGAAGGTAATCATGCAGGAATGGGCAATAGCCTTATGCATATAAATCGAGGAGCGCAGGAATTAACAAACCATCCTCCGTACGTCCCAGGTTTTCCTAACTTATTTTCTGGATGACAAGCATGAGAATGCAACCCATAGTCTTCATGACAGGAAACAGGAGTAGCTGTTCACGGGGAAGGAGATGGTCCCTGGTACCTCTCAGCATCCTCACCACCACCCTTTCCATGACCCGTGTCTGCTGCATACGATAACTCATCTTAGGGTGGTTAAGTAATTTTCCCAATTTCACACTCCCTGTAAGTGGTGGAGCTGCAATTCTCAGCCAATTGTGTGATGCCAGAACTTACGCTAGGCAAAATCTCTCTGGCTGTCACTCAGCGATCACGGCTGTTTGCATCTTGATACAATTGCTGGGGTAGGCGGTAGAGGGCACATTATGCAGGGAAGTGGAAGAACATTGATTTTACCAGCCCATATGATTTAAATCATCAAAATGTGACACCACTCATGTTTCTTGAAATGATGACCTATTCAAGAACTTGGATTTCTATGTTTCTCAGATTTAACGAAGATATAGTTCGGTGGCATTCCATGGAAGTTCCTATTAATATGTATGAGCAACAGAAAAAAAAGCCACTTCTCAAGATGTGCATTTGGATATGCAGTTTAAAAAATCCTTTCTAAAGTGAAAAGACAACCTGATCATAGCATTTAGGCCAAGAAGTTCTAAAGAATTATTTTGTTATCTAGTTCTTTTAAGAATTGAAGAAACTTTCTTTTTTTAAAAAGTCAAATACATGAGTATAAAAATAAAATGTTCTTCTCATTTTGGGGTATTTTCTTCCTCTCCTTTGCGCATAACCTTCCGTAAACATGAAAACTTTGTCTCTGGCTTTCTTTTGGAAAGACAGGAGGATTCAATCCTGTTTCTCGCCGGGTGTGACGTGATGCCGCGACCTGAGACCCCAGGTAAAGGCGAAAGCTGCAATTCTGAGAGCATGGTTTGAGAAGAAGCATATTCCCCTTTATTCTGACTTTTTGGACAATATATGAAGACGTTTGTGTAGTTTTGAACCTCACGCATTAATAACGGCATAGGGGAAGTGGAGTTTTTAAAAAAACAGTGGCGAGGATGATAGGACGTCCTTGGAGTAACTGTTGAAATTCTAGCCCGGGGAGGCGGAGAGTCAGAGGCACAACACGTTTTCCAGGAATATGAAGGGGAATATGAAGGGTGGACCTCTGGATTCAGCTAAATCCAATGTGTGAAATTTAAAGGAGGCAGCTTTGGGCTCAGTAAGAAGAAGCTGCTGATCTGCAGTACTTTGGTTTTTTGAGTTGTGGGTGCAGGGGACAGGCAGAGGCCGGGCATCCGCAGAGTCCAGTGCTGTGGGAAGGATTTAAGCATCGGAAGAGGGAGGCAGAGGGGTCATCCATGAGGCCCTCTCATTGGAGGCGCTGTCCAGGTGGGGGCCCTGTCCTTTGAGGCCACCCACCTGCAGGCAGGCACTGGTAAGAGTCAGGTTGGGTTAGACAGGGAACCGTGGGCAAACCCATGAGCCACCTGGGCTTTATTCTCCTTCTTCTCAAGTATTAATATCTCTCTCCCTCACGTGTCCGCGCCCTTCCCATTTCTCTCTGGCTCAATGGCCAAGTTCCTGCTTCCCCACCCTGCGCCGACACATCGCCATGCACCTGCACAGAGGCCCCTGCAGGCCCGAGGGACCGTGCGGAGGTGGGCCCCAGCGGTGAAGGAAGGGGCTCCGCCAGGGTGGGAGTGGCCTATTAACTTCCCAGGTGACAAGCCAGGGGGATAGTTTACATTATGGTCCTTTCTTAGAAACCCTCGAGCCATGCCTGCAACGGGACTCACTTCCCTGTCCAAATCGATTGCTGTGCCCGAGCGTAAGCACCGGGAAAACGGCAGCACTGAGGCCTCAGCAGGCTGGGCTGCGTGGACGGGCAGTGTGCAGCAGAGCCTGGGGCGGGGGTGAAGGAGCATCCAGCCCCACCCTGTCCATAACGGGAGATTGGCGTGCTTCCCTTCGCAGGGGTGGAGAGAGCTGCACCCCTTAATCCCTGGAATGGGACGACATAAGAGTCAAGAAGAACGTCAATATCGTTAAAGGAAAAGGAAATATAAATTTCGAATTCATCTTCTGACGGAAATGAAGGCAGTTTTCTAAGTTTCACAGGGAGCATAAATCTAAGGACATTTCCTAATTAATATTCAAGTCGACTAAATAACAATCGAATCGGGTGCCCTCATCCCACGGGCATATTCAGGATTCAGATTTCTTTGACCCTCTGCTGATTAATTCCTACCTCTTTTCAGGTCTAGCACCGCCAATCTGACTTTTAACTTCTCTAATCAATTTCTCAAATAACTATAGGGCAGAAACCATTTTTCTTTGTTGATACATGACCTGGTTTGGGCACAAGAAGCTAAAACACTTGTTAAGAGGAGCCAAGCAGAGGCGTATTTCATCTAAATGTGAACTTTGATATAGCCCTCACTTGAGTCACACTTGTCAGTTTTATATTCATGTCAGAAAGGGCTTGAAAATCACATTAAATTTACGTGTTTGCATATATATTTGTATTATATGTCACGTACTTATGCATGTGAAGACTGTATTAAAATTAAGAACTATTTTTTAAAAGCTTAGATAAGTTATGTGTAAATGTGTAAGGATGTGTGTGTGTATGTGGTGTTTATGTAAAAAAAAGAGGAGAGAAAGAAAAAAGAGATGAAGTGAAATATAGGCCTAGTACCAAGTAGATGATCAAAGATTCTAATTGATATTTAGACAACAGAGAGAACAGAGGAGGATTTGTGGTGGAAGGGATATGTTCCCAATGTAGAATGAAACATTTGGAGAAAAATCCAGTTATTTATTTATTCATGGACTTATTTTCTGATTCAGTAAGTATTTACTCTCTAGTGCCTTAACACGCTGTCATGTGCCTGATGCTGCATGTGGACATGGGAAATAGAATAGCACAGATCTGTCTCCTGTCTTCTTGGAGCATAGATTATATTAGAAGGTGCATTCATCAAGTCATCATTCAGAAAAAAGTATATAAGATAGCAACTGTGACAACAGCCTTGAGAGGGGTCCCATGGAGCGCTTAAGGGCTGTGATGGAGCACTGAAATAACCGTGCATGTCAGGGAGGGTGACGGGGATAATTGACTTGTCTAATGACAATCACAGATATGTTCTGATAAATTAAATTAAATGTGCACATGCAGATCTTAGAAAAAATTAAAAATTTCAGGCCAGGCACAGTGGCTCACACCTGTAATTCCAGCACTTTGGGAGGCTAAGACAGGAGGATCGCTTGAGCCCAGGAGTTTGAGACCACTCTGGGCAACACTCTGAGACCCCATCTCTACAGACTAGACTAGACTAGACTAAAATTGGCTGGGTGTGGTGCACACCTGTGATCTCAGCTACTCAGGAGGCAGTGGCAAGAGGATGACTTGAGCCCAGGAGGTCGGGACTGCAGTGAGCTGTGATCATGCCACTGCACTCCAGCCTGGGTGACAGAGCAAGACCTTGTCTCAGAAAAATAAAATAAAATAAATAAATAAATAGGTTAAACATTTTAAAGCACAGCTGATAAGCCAATAGTAAAATAAAATGGAATAATAATAATACTCAACAGAAGGCAATACATAGAAAGAGGATAAAATGAATAAAGAACAGATGGAGAAATGGAAAACAACTAATGAACTACTGCATTTAACACAACCACGTTAATAATTATATTAAATGTAAATGATATTAACAGAGATTCTCACTTTAGATAAAAAGCAAGATGTGAAAGGATGTCTATTTAAACCCTCTTTAAGTATAAAGACATAAAATTATAAGACAAAATTCAAAGCATGTTAAGCAAACACTATCCCAAAGTAAGCTTAAGTAGCTAATTAATATCAAATTAGACTGCCTAAGGAGAAGTATTACCAGGTATAAAGAGACACATATAATATTGAAGAAGTTAATTTGTGTAGAAAAAAATGTTATTCTTAAATGTCTATGCAACTAATAACAAAGATTCAAGGTAAATCTGACAGAACTGAAAAAGGAAATAGATAAATCCAAAATTGTTGGATTCATCTACTTGTTTTTGGAGTGTTTAACACCCCTCTCTTATCAATTGATGGAATTATTAGACACAGTGAAATGAGAGTCCGGAAGCCCTGAAGAGCCCTGCCATCCCAACTTGAGCTTATTGACATTTGCTGATTACTGCACCCAACTGCAGAGGGGTACGGATAATGTTCTAGTGCCCATACAGTAGTGATCAAGACTGTACTCCTGGCCATAAAACACATATTAACAGGTATAAAGTCACTGAAATAATACTAAGTGTGTTCTCTGAACACACCAGAATTAAATTAAAATTAAAATTGAGGAACACAAAGGTATCTTGACAATGTCCAGCTATTTGAAAATTAAACAACAGTATTTTACATACAATGGTCAAAGAAGAAATATCAGAAAATTTATACTTTATTATAATTGAGTAAAAATGTAGTAGAATTCATAAAATTGGGTAAGATGCAGCTAAAGCAGTACCTAGAGGAGAATTTATAGGCTTAAAATGTTTATATTAGAAAAGAAAAGAAAGTTTCAATTCCATGATATAAGTTCCAGGATTATGAAACTAAAAAAAGAAAAGCTAATTAAATGCAAAGAAGGTGGAAAGGAAAATGATAAAGACAAAAAAAATAGAAAACAGAAAAATGTAGAGAAAATCAGTGACACCAAAACTAATCCTTTGAAGAGATGAATAAGATTTCTAAAACTCTAACTAGTGTGATTATGGAAAAAAAAATGAAATACACAAATTTCCAATATTAGGAATGAAATTAACAATTTATTACAAACTCTAGTGGTAACAAAAGCATAAGAGATATTAAAATAAAGGTAAGGCAATATATTTGAGGGATTAAAAAGAAAGTTTCCAATCTCAACCAAGAAGTAGATCAACAAAATCATAATTAATTCACTACAGAAATAAAATTACAAGCCTGTATATTTTCCCTGATAAAATTTACAAAATAATTTATGAAAAAAATACTCATAATTCAGCACAATGTCTTCCAAAAAATAAAAGAGGACAGATCACATTCTCAACTTATTTGATGAGACTAGAACTACTGTGAAAGCAAAACCATACAAAGACATTACAAGAAAAACATACTACAGAACAATACTCCACATGCACAGGGACAAATAAAATCGCTAACACAATTTTGAGAAGTGAAATCCAGCAAAATGAGAAAATGTAGGATGACTCATTGAAATTCATCCCAGGAATGTAAGGCTGTTTTGACATTTGAAAACAAGTAAGTGTAGTTCTCAATATCAATATGTTAAACAAGGGCCCGGGAGTGGCGGCTCACATCTGCAATACCAGCTCTTCGGGAGGCCAAAACAGGTGGATCACTTGGGGTTAGCAGTTCAAGACCAGCCTGGGCAACATGGTAAAACCCCCATCTCTACTAGAAATTCAAAAATTAGCCGGACATCATGGTGGGTGCTTGTAATCCTAGCACTTTAGGAAATTAAAATTAGCAAAATACATTAACAATCACATAAAAACTTTGGAATTGTTAGGGATAAAACTAAAATATATGTGTAAAAATTCTTTGCTGAAAACTACTACCAGCTGGGTGTGGTGGCTCACGCCTGTGATCCTAGCACTTTGGGAGGCTGAGGCGGGTGGGTCATTTGAGGTCAGGCGTTTGAGACCAGCCTGGCCAACATGGCGAAATCCCGTCTCTACTAAAAATTAGCTGAGTGTGGTGGTGGGTTCCTGTAATCCCAGCTACTCGGGAGGCTAAGGCAGGAGAATTGCTTGAACCCGGGGTGGGGCAGAGGTTGCAGTGAGCTGAGATTGTGCCATTGCATTCCAGCCTGGGTGAATTTTACCATTTGCCAATTACTCATCTAACAAGGTGATTAGAGAGAAAATAAAAATTCTCACCTTACTGTGGTAAATGGATTGCAAAACAAGTAAGAATCCCTGCAGTGGGAACCAGTGAGGTCGCCTGGTACCACGACTGTCTAGAATCACTTTGCCGTCTAGTTTGATGAAATGAGTTGAGACACGCAATACCGTTGCGACACTCTCTGGCACTCAATAAATATCAGTTATTGTCATATGCACTTAGTGACAACCCTCAAATATTTTACCAATGTCACATTTTAGTAAGATGAGCTGTACAATATTATCTCCGCTTAGGCAAGATCGTTGTTCTGTCTCCTCCCACACCTGAACTAATCATCCTATTAAGAGCAGCTGAACATGGGGCTGCAGGTTCTGCTCCCTGCTAATAACAGCAGTGCTCACCCTGGGAGGCCGTAAGACCTCTCTTCTCTAATTTTATAGATAAAAAGTTTTCCTGGGCTGATGCTGGCACTGTCTGCAGGGGCAAAGGAATAGATGGGCTGACCTCCTCCTGCTCCCTGGGATTTTAGATACCTTCGGAATTGGATTTAAAACAATGACTTGACCAGGCACGGTGGCTGACATCTGTAATCCCAGCACTTTGGGAGGCTGAGGCGGGTGGATCAGCAGGTCAAGAGATTGAGACCATTCTGGCCAACATGGTGAAACCTCCTCTCTACTAAAAATACAAAAATTAGGCAGGTGTGGTGGCAGTTGCCTGTAGTCCCAGCTACTCGGGAGGCTGAGGAAGAAAAATCGCTTGAACCTGGGAGGCAGAGATTGCAGTGAGCCGAGATCGCGCCACTGCACTCCAGCCTGGGTGACAGAGTGAGACTCTGTCTACAAAAAAATAAAAATAAAAATAAAAAATAAATAAATAAATAAGAGGCTTTACTCATACATTCCAGTAAGAGTAACTCGACTTTCACTCTTGTCTCAATTTTATTCACATTTATTCACATTCCTTTGGCATAAAATATTCTCCACGAGCTATTGTCTTTTACCAAAGTTTGTGATTTATTCATTTTCAACTGTCTTGGACTCTTTGATTTTTCACTCTTATCTTAAACAACAAGTTAGCATGCACTGTACGGGGGGCTTTCTCTTGATACCTAACTGAATGCTGTACTGGATCCTGTGCCCAGGAGATCACTTGAGAGCCTGCTTGCATTTAGTATGTTTAATGGAAATTTAATGTTCTCACAATTGTTTTCGCCCTCCCAGTAGCACTGAATTATTTATGAATAACCTCAAATCTCTCTAAGTAAAACACGGTGCTTTTAATGAGCCAGCGATCACAGTTCAGTCAGGGAGATGGTGGCTAAGGATGCCAGGCCTGACACTTGAGTGCTGCGTTTTCCTTGTGTACCAATTATGGTTACTGTAACTTGGGCAGCATCAGAGAAGGGCTGCCCCCTACCACCTCACCTCGCAAAAATGTGTTTCTTATATTAAAACTCTCACGCACGCACACACACACACACACACACACTCTCTCTCCTTTGTAAAGGTATCTCTCCATTCGTACTTTGTCTGATGGTGAAGCCACAGGGGCCGTGAGCCCTGTGAGTGCCGTCCCCACCCCAGGGTGACATCAGCAGAGTGCGTGTGTGAGGCCCAGAGGTACACCACTCCTTCAGTCTGCCAGTGTGCCTCCTGCCTGCCTTGGAGGTAGCCTTACTCCCTGGGACGCGTCCAAGAAACTGAAAGCAATAGGCAGATTTGGATTTCAGCTCCTCACCTGACGGATGACCCCAGCCTGCTCTGCTATGAGATGGAGCACACCAGTGATTACTGTAAAAGGCTGTTGTGAAGGTTCCAGGAAGTATTCCTGAAGTTCCTGGCCACTGGCTCACATGTACAAGATACTGAGTAAGTAATGGCTGTTTCTGGCATTATTGTATTGGACCCTTTGGAATAACATTTGTGTAAATGCCCTTTATTTTGTCCCAAACAATGGAACGATAAGAAAAAGGGCAATGAAGTTTTTGAGGGGAGAATTCTACTGGACAATTCCTCATTTTTCTTTGTTTGGGTAGGGGTGGCATCAAAAGGGTCATGTAGATTTTGCTCAGGTATTCAAGTTTATGTATTAGTTCCATAATCTGATGAATGTTTACTGGGCACGTCTCAGGTGTGCTGTGACCATGACGTCCCTCTCCGTGGCCCTCTCATGTGCTATGGACTAGACGGGACATGAGTACGGGGAACTCCAGCCATGATGACTGCGGTACTCAGAACCGTTCTCTGTTCTTGTATCAAGTGCTGGTTGGTTTCTTCTATGAAGGAGATTGTGTTATAAGCTAGGAAGATATCGGAGACGGTGAGTCTCTGTATTGAAAGAGACATTACAGGATTTCAAGAATGGGGCCGAACCTTGACCAAGAGATGTTTCCGAAAGCGAGTTAGAATAAAAAGTCATGAGGAAATTGTCTTAGGTTTTTGTTTTAAAAATGTTTCTGTGCTCCTTTTTAACGTCAGCAACTTTGAAAAATAAAACAAAATAAATGCTCAGCCTACCCTTGCTATTCTTTGTGGGAGACTGGAGTGACTTCTCCTTTCTTCCTTCTTCTCATTTGGACAGAGCCGCTCAGAGCTGAGGAGGCAACAACACAGAACCCACGTTCCAGGTGCTATGTTCTGGGAGTACAGGCATGAGTCCCCGCACTCACCCCTTCTTCTATTAATATCCCCCGGTGGCGGGCTCTGATGGCATCAGCTTGTGTGTGGAAGCTTCCTGCTGTAATGTAATCAGCAAATGGAAGCCGTGTCCCTTTAAACCCTTGCCGTCACTTCTGCATGTGGCAAAATCAGGGTGGAAACCTGGCCCATTCCATTCCTTGTGCTGAGAGTGAAAATGACCCTGCATGTCAATCAGAAACCATGTAACAAACCTGCACTTTCTGCACATGTATCCCAGAACTTAAAGTAAAATTTAAAAAAAGAAAAAAGGAAAGAAATCTCGCCTAGGTAGCATGATCACGCGTCCTCTCTTCTGCTTGATGAATTTTTATATACTTTTGTGTGTGGAATATCTGAACATGCCCACAGCTAGCATGCTGCAGATTTTCAGCCCTCAGTCAAGGAAAAAAAAACAGATGAATAATTTGAAGGGGCCCAGCACAGTGGCTCATGCCTATAATCCTAGCACTTTGGGAGGCTGAGGTGGGCAGATTGCCTGAGCTGAGGAAATCGAGACCAGCCAGGGCAAAATGGTGAAACCCCATCTCTACTAAATACAAAAAATCAGCCGGGCATGGTGACATGTGCCTGTAGTCCCAACTACTTTGGAGGCTGAGGCAGTAGAATTGCTTGAACTCAGGAGGTGGAGGTTGCAGGAACTCAGGAGCCAAGATTGCGCCACTGCACTCCAGCCTGGGTGACAGAGCGAGACTCTGTCTCCCAAAATAGATAGATAAATAAATAAATAATTTGAAGGAAGCCTTTCCTGTCAGAGTTCATCTTCTTGGAAAACAAGGAAATTCACATTATTTTCATCAGTTGCATTTTCTATGTGAGTATAATCTACATGAGTGACATAGATGCCATTCCTAATTTCAAAGAAGATACCACAGGCACATTGAAAACGTCGCAGACATAAAGTCAATTTAAGCCAGGGGATGCATCCAAAAATTTACTATAAACCTTTCCTGTACCCTGAAATGTAGGCATTGTGTGGAGCTTTAGGGCAGGTGGCAGCAGATTTAAAAGTTTGCAGTTGTGCTGGAGGAACAACCATCTAAACAGCGTAGTCAGAAACGTAAATAAATACCCCGAGAAAAGGATGTGCTAATGGGGATATGTTTATCAAATATAATGGAAATAAGCAATTGACTTTTTCTTTGGTAAAATTTGGATCAGTTTATCACATAGGTAATATTTGAATTGGATCCCGAAGAGTTAGCAGGAATTTGACGAGTGAAGACGAGTTGGTCTGTGAAGAGGAGGCAGCCTGTGGCAGGTGAATGCCATTCACGTCCACCAGGGCCTGACAGCACCAGGGGGAGTGGGTGCCAGTGTGCCCCTGTCCTGAGAGCTGAGCTTCAGGGCCAACAGGGCAAGTGGCTCAGGACCCACTCAAGGTGCCTGTGGTGGGAGGACAGCCCAGCCCTCCAAGGTGAACTGAAAAAACACATGCCAGTGAGTTTTAAAGCTGAAGGCTGGAAAGCTCTTCTCCATTGCACGGCTCTGATATACCGGCTTGGCTTTCACAGGAAAATCAGCTGTGCGTGGGGTGTCCTCTGAGATTCTCCTAATTGCTTTGCAGGTCTAAACATACCGCACAATGCTGTCAGGGATTGCTATGGATAGCCAACTCCATTCTGCTAAACAAAACCAGTAATTTGGAAAAATTACAGCCCTGGATGCCATCGTTGGCACCACAAGGACGACCTCCCTGCTAACTGTTAAAAAAAGAAAAAAAAAAAATTGGCGGCACACCAGGCCAAGGAAGGCCTCTGTGTAAGTGTGGAATACGACAATCCTTTAGGAAAAAAAGCAAAATAGAAAACTGAATGAATTTTTGATGATTTAACCTAGGACAGTGGGGTCTTAGAGGGCTGTGGCTGTTTCATTTGGAATAGTTATTTTGTAACAAAAAGGGCATATCCTGCTTCCCAGCCTTAACCATATGCAAGCACTGTTTAGCAACTTGCTCCTAATGACACCTTCCTCTGAAAAGCTAGTTCGCCATGAAACAGATATTTATGAGGCCTGTGGTTCATCTTCCTAGAGATTCCCATAAACACAGGTGTGTGGACACATCTGAGCTCTACAAGCCGAACGCCCGTACCCAGCGCCACTTTGTTTTTCTATTCAACCTCCTCCCCAGAATTCTGCAGTCTCAGAGAGGAGGCATCTTCACTCAAAAGTTCTTCTACTTGCCCCATTCTTAATATTCTGTATTGAAGGAAAGGATTATTCTGGCTCAAGGCTTTTCTCCCTCAGACAAAATGATGTGGCGTAAGATTCATTACCAGGTGAGTGAACTTCCTAGGGGCACAGACAGGACAGCTGTCCCCATCAGAGGCAGAGAAGAGTGAGGAGGACTTTTATTTTCCTTTCAGAGTCAGCAAGCTTTAACATAAGCTGCCTCCTGTCGTCCTCTTATTCTCTAAAAGGGCATAGCTGTGGCTGTGCAGTCTCTTCATATTAACTCAGTCTCTGGGGCCGCTGCATAGGCAAACATGCTTGTGTGTATCTGCCGAGCAGGATTTTAGTAAAAAGCACAAGCCAGGAAAACGCCAGACTGAGTCTTCGTCATGGGTGCAGGTCAAGTCTGCTCCATGGCCACATAGACCAGGCCTGGTTTCCCATTTCCGTGATTGTCTTTCGAATATGTCACATCAAGAGTCATGTTCCACCTGACATTTCTAAATTTTTTTTTTTCATGTTGTTCATCTCATGTGGTCTTACATTCAGAGATTGAGCTGTTGTATCATATTCTGGAAGCATTCCAGGTCACTATCGCTCCTCTTTTCAAAAGGTTGTGGGAAAACAAAATATAATTTCAGGCTAAATACTCGTGAGGATCTAACCTTTCTATACCATAATGCCTGTGAGCCCACACTCAGGCTGTGGCTTGTTTTCCCACCATTTCCAAAGGTGCTTTCTCATTTTGAAATCTTAATGCTTAGGTAAGAAAGACAGCAGTTTTGGAGGAGAAAAGAGGTGGACCCTGAAACTCAACAGCATATTTTGTTGGGGGATTGTCCACTCATTGCCATGAATTCAGAACTTGCTGTTTTGAATTCCTCATTATGTCTGCTTAGTCATAAAATAGAGGCTTTCCTCCTTCCTGTCCATTTGCTGATTATATTACAATGGGAAGCTTCCACACACAAGCTGATGCTGTAAGAACCCCCCCATCACCAGGAGATATGAATAGGAAAGGGGTTGGGTGCAGTGGCTCATGCCTGTAATCCCAGAATTTTGGGAGGCCAAGGTGGCAGGATTGCTTGAGGTCTGGAGTTCAAGAGCAGCCTGGGCAACATAGCAAGACCTGTCTCTACAAAAAATAAAAATGAAAATTAGCCAGATGTGGTGGCACACATCTGTAGTCTCAGCTATTAGGGAGGTTAAGGTGGGAGGATGGCTTGAGCCCAGGAGTTAGAGGCTGCAGTGAGCTGTGATCCCACCACTGCACTCCAGCCTGGGGGAGAGAATGAGACCCTGTCTGAAAACAGAAAAGAAAAGAAATGAAAAGGTTTGTGAAATATCTGAGGGTTTAAGATGAAACGTTAACTTCTTGAATATAGTGTTCTATCCTTCCTATTAAGGGGAAATTAGTTGCCACATTTGAAAGCCTCAATCTGAGCGGGAAATATGCAGTTTAGTGTGTGAACAAAAAGAGTAAATACACTCGTTTATCACAGGGCTTGGCCCCAGCTCCCAGCTTCCTGCTGTCCAAGTCCCCCCGCTGCCTGGCCTGAACAGAGCATTCGCATGATGCTGCGTTTTCCCCTGGGAGCTCTTCCCCTCTGCCACTCCGGAGGCTCCTTCCCTTGTGATTTTGTTCTCCCGGTTACACACAGGAAGAACACTGCCATGACCACTGCTTACACAACCATTTTTGCTGCTGCAATGCCCAAACGTTAACACATATTGGATTTTTATTACTACATGTCAGGCACCATGCTAAGGACTTGCAGGAGAACATAACCATGCGTGGTGGAGAATATTACCCTACTCATTTTGCAGGTGAGAAAACTGAGGCTGGGAGGCATAAGCTAGTTGCCAGAGGCACCTATTTTTCGAGTGTGACTCCAGATGCCATGTCTGACTCCAGAACCCCAATTGCTCTGCCTTTCTGATGGAAGTATCCCCTGCCACCTAGAAACAGCCACATATCTGAACAAAATGAAACAATCAATCAAACAGAAAGGCCACGTTGCATATTCCAGGATGGTTGGTGTCATCAATAATGAATGTGTCTGTGCATGCGTGAGGCTTGCGGTTGGGCAAAGCGCTCGGCCACCCTCCTGCAGAACCTGATTCTCCAATGTTTGGTGTTTACTAATGAAGCTGGGAGCTGCAGCGTCTGTGGGGGAAAATGTCTACAACTGCAGTGAACAAGTGAGAATTTATCTGATTCATAAAATTGGCACCTGCAGCCTTAGTACCCTGGGCCAATGTTAAACAAACGTTTTCAAAACAGTAAAATCCAGGAAGCTCTGAAGCACTCTAGTGAATTGAAGCCCATTTCCTGCACCGTCTTTCTAGGTCCAAGTTGGTTTATTGCTCAGTCTCTTGGGCAGGGTCACAGCAGAGACAGCTGTGCAGTCAGGGCACAGAGGGGCGGGCTGGGGTCTCGGGCGATGCCACAAGCTGATGAGCCAGTGGCCAGAGGACAGCGCCGGGCACCTCTCAGGGTCTCTCCTTCCTCCAAGACAGAACCAAGGAATTTATATGGGTGTGCTCTCAGCCTCAGACCAGACTTCAATCAGACGCTAGACGCGTGGAGGCTGTGGCTTCTCTGAAACCGAGCCTCCTCTTTATCCTTTCCCACACCCTTCACTGCCGTGGAGACTTTTCCTCCTAAAGTGCTTGAAGCGGGGAGCTTTCTGGTGGAAAACTCATATGGCTGGGAAGGAAAGCTCTCTACAAATGTCCTTCCTAGAAAAGCTCTTCCTTTATGTACAGCAGAAGAAACTACCTTAACCACTAGCAGATGTGAAAAGTTAAATTGGGAAAATCATTAAATTTGTTTAAAAATTGTAAAATGGTAGGTAACTACAATTGTAAAAGGGGAGAAAAAGAGATAATGCCATAAACAGCCAAATGCCTCCCTCCCTGAAACCACAATTATTAATATTATGTCATATTGGCCTTACAATTTTAATAAAATAAGTAAAATATTACAGATAAAATTAGAATCTTCAGTATAGTGATAGTTCACCCTCAAAAACAAGAAAGAATCATTCTAATCTCTGATCTACATGTAAGCTATGTATGTCACATTTATCTGTCTTCTCTCTAATCTGTAACCTATAAGTCTATCATATCTATCTATCTATTGCCTATCATCTATCTATCTATCATCTCTATCCATATATCTATAATCTATCAATCATCTATTATCTATCATTTCTATTTATCTATCTATCTAGCCTAACATCTATCTATCCATCATTTTCTATCTATTCATCTGTCATCCATCTAACCTATCATCTTTCCATCTACTTAACATCTATTTATCTATCTCATCTATGTATCTATGTAGCTATCTATGATCTATTTATCTATCATCTGTGTCATCTAAGCAATCTAATGTCTATCCATCTACCTAACACCTATCTCATCTCTCTATGTATCTATCTGTCTACTATTTAGATATCGTCTATCTATCTATGTATCAATCTATGCCTCTATCCTTCATCTCTTTATCATCTATATATCCATTGACCTACCTGTCTCTGAACTGTGGCTCATATTTATTGGCTGTATTGAGATAGCTTGAATCAGGGAAGAACACCTGACTTGGCTGCTGAGATGTTCCAAATCAAAACACCTCAGACTTTGTAAAATGTCACCCCTGCCCAGCAGAACATGTGGAATTGTATCACATCCAGAAAGTGTTTAATGAGCTGGTTAGTGATGAGCCTGGCCTGCTTCAGCTGCGTATCCCATCCCTTGACAACAGCAAACACTGAGCAATGGCACTCTTCATTTCTTAACTGTTGCTTTTTAGACAACGGTGTGTATGGAAACAGGGTTGTGGGAAGCCAAAAGCCCTGTAAAAATGTGGTCTAGCATCCCAGTCACCTCCTCCTGGGAGGGTTTGGCTTCCTGCCATTTCTATTCAGAGGCAGGCACTGCACGCTTGTTTCTGAACCTGGCTGGCCAGTGGCAGAGGGCATTCCAGTTATTATGGAAATTCACTGAGAGGAGAGGCACCTTGCCACTTCATCTCCACCTTGCACGGCACCTTCACAGTCCCATGCCGAGGAGGGTTGTTCAATAAATATTGTGGATTGAGCCAAGAGGGGATGGCAGATAACTGGAATTAACATGAGGCAGATGACACATGGTGCCAGAGTCATTTTATTCAATTATTGAATCAGAAAGTTCTCAGAAATAGTATTTACATATAGTCCATGGGACAATAAAAATTCCACAAAATTTTATTTTTAAAGATAGAGGGTCTTAGGTTCCTTTGCCACACCCTTCCGTCTTATCTCAAATAGCTTTGCGGGTCCTTCTGTGCCCTCTGTTCCAAGTAGAAATTTCTTCCCCACAATGAGCCGTCCCCTTAATCTCCTCCACTTCAAAGGATGCGTAATAGTTTCACACACCTCTGTGAGCAGCTGGGAAGATCTCGGAATATCAGCTTCCCTCCTGCTTCCCTCTTCAGTACACAATCCATTTCTTTAATACCAACTTAAAGTGAGTTATATTTGACAGCATTGCACAAGCCATGACTGCACGGCTATTGCTATCTGTGAAAAGATTCATTTGGATCTTTGGCATGTATACTTCAGAATCCTGTACACTCTTGGTTTCCATTGATTCTGTAGCTTCTACTTTTGCACGGCTCCATAGTTTCATGTTTAGTGTTGCTGAACAAAAGAAGAGGCTTTCTCTTTGCTTCGTCTTCTGTTTTCATGTGGTTGCTTCTTGTTCCCCCCACATAGCAGCAGGAATACTGCATGGTTCTTGTCCAGGAACACATAAATTATGCAAGATAAACCAAAGTACACAAGAAAATATGGGGCCTTCTTGCTTTTTTTGTAGGTAATACAATTGGTGTCTGAATCATTTGATTTACAAGGAGAAGTAAAAAAGTTTTGTGTGTGTCTGTGTGTGTATTAATCAATAGTTAACAAATTAATACATATTCTAAACATAGCAGGAATGGTGGTTGTTTTGCATGCAATTAGTTGTTTTCTATTTAATAACTTTCTTTTGGCCTGCTACATTTAATCATGACATAAGGTGTCTCCATCATATTAACTGTTGAATCCTTGCTAGGATGATTGGATTAGTTATCTGATTAGTTTATCCTGTAACTGTTTAATGCCTTTACTGAGTTTCATTGCATTATGATTCAGTTACATGAAAACTGCAATTTACCTGTAACTGACTCATGCAGGCTCAATTTCATTTCTGAATTTGGCTTTTTAGAACAAACAATTCAAGACTAAATTTATAACAGAGGTGCACTCATAAAAACAAATTACTAGGGTTTCTGAAGTTAAATCTAAAGAACTCTGCCCTGAGAAATCACATCTACTTCAAATAATCAAATATACATTTAGTTTCAGCCACCAATCACTTTCTAAGGAGGAACAATCTACAGACACTATTTTAGGAATACAAAAACTATTTATGTTATGTAGAAACTTCACTCCTTCTAAACCACTAATTACTAAGCATAGAGAGGTTTGCAAAATAAGCAGTATATTATTAGTAACTGGGCATAATTGATCATCATTTATTGGTGTAAATAATAAAGACAACAACGTGGTCCATCTTTGATCAAGGGTAGAGTATTATGCAAGAGGAGCATGGACTCCTGGACTGCACCTGTGATGCCACAGAAATGCGCAGCCCCACCTGCTCAATGCGTTCTGGTCACATTGGCCCACGTCTTCCCTGCCTGTCCTTACCCTGGGAAACAGTTTGACAGAGGCACAGACTGCACAGAACCCATGTCCACTCATATTTCATAGGTGGAAGCACTGAGACATGGTGAGGAGCTTTGATACAACCGTCTCAATGTTCAGAGAGCTAGAATACTTAACAAGCAGCACCAGGGATGAGGCAGGATTGGATCCAAGGTGATTTCCTGCTGTGCAAATTGGGATTTTTTTTTTTGCCTTAATTGTCCTGTATTCCATTTTCTTTATCCTTTACAATGGAGATGATAATGCCCGTCTCAAGAATGGTCGGAACTTAGTGAGAGAGTGGAAAGCACCTGGCATAAGGCAGTCTACACAAGATCATCAGTCAATAGCTCTGCTGGTAGTTAATGCATTGTACTGACAATTTTGATTGTGTAGGGAGTTTGACTTGAATTACCCTATTTAATGTTTATACTGACAAATAATAGTATAAACTCCATTTTACAAATGAGGAAACTAAAGTTTGAAGACACCTGATAATTTGAAGCTGTGCAGGAATTTGACCAAGGCCAGATTAAACTAAATAGAGAAGCTGGCATTGGCCCAGATCCCTCCACCCAACAGCTGAGGCTTTTCCCCCCAGTGACACACCAAGGACATCGTTGCTGTCAGGAGCACAGAGGCCTCAGAGATCCCCTGTCTCTCACTATCCCATCTGGATGGGGAGTTTCCCAGGTCCTCCATCCACCGTGATGCCAGCAAAGTCTTTCAATCTGGATAAAGACCTTGATGTTTCATATCAGAGAAAGACCCTGTTGTGGTCTTTGTCTCATAAAAGAACGTTCATGTTGAGGAGGTGAATTCAGCAAAAGGTTGTACAATCAGGACGATGTGACAAGTACGGACACACCTTGATTTATGGAGCTTTACTTCACGGCACTTCACAGATCATGTGTTTCTTACAAATTGAAGGTTCATGGCAACCCTGCACTGTGCAAGTTTATCAGTGCCATTTTCCCACAGTGTGTGCTCACTTCGGGTCTCCATGTCACGTTTTGATAATTCTCCCAATGTTCTGAAGTTTTTCATTATTATTATATCTGGTTTAGTGCTCTGTGGTCAGTGATGTTTGATGCCACTGCTGTAATTGTTTTGGGGCACCACAGACCATGTCCATAGAAGGTGGCAAACTCCATGGATAGATGTGTCTTCTGACTGCTCCACTGACCCGCCATTCTCCCGTCTTCCTCTGTCTCTTCAGGCCTCCTTATTCCCTGAAATACAACAATATTAAAAGTCGACCCCAGTCAGTAACCCTACAATGAACTCTAACTGCACAAGTAAAAGAAAAATTTACACTTCTCTTCCTTTAAATGCAAAGCTAGAAATGATTAATCTTAGTGAGGAAGGCATGTTGAAAATTGAGACAGAGCAAGAGCTAGGCCTCTTGTGCCAAACAGCCAAGCGGCCAATGCAAAGAACAAGTTCTTGAAGAAGTTAGAAGTACTACACCAGCGAACATACAGATGATAAGAAGTGAAACAACCTCATTGCTGAGATGGAGATCTAATACAAGATCAAACCAGCCACAGCATTCCTTTAAGTGGAAGCCTAATTCAGAGCAAGGCCGTGACTCTCTTCGATTCTGCAGAGGCTGAGAAAGGTGAGGAAACTGCAGAAGAGAAGTTTGAAGCTGTGAGGTTGAAGGAAAGAAGCCACAGTGTAACGTAAAAGTGCAAACGGAAGCTGCATGGGCTGATGGAGAAGCTGCAGCAAGTCCTCCAGATCTAGCTAAGATCATTGATAAAAGTGGCTACTCTAAACAACAGGTTTTAAATGTAGATGAAATAGCCTTCTATTGGAAAGAAAATGCCATCTCGAACTTTCAGAGCTAGAGATGAGAAGTCAATGTCTTGCTTCAAAACTTCAAAGGACAGGCTGACCCTCTTGTTAGGGGCTAATATAGCTGGTGACTTTAACTTGAAGCCAATATTTATTTACGACTCCGAAAGTCATAGGGCCCTTAAAAATTATGCTAAATCTACTCTGCCTGTGCTCTAGAAATGGAACAACAAAGTTTGGATGACAGCACATCAGTTTACAGCATGGTTTACCCAATATTTTAAGCCCACTGTTGAGACCTACTGCTCAGAAAAAAGCTTCCATTCAAATTGTTACTGCTCATTGACAAGGCACCTGGTCACCCAGGAGCCCTGATGGAGATGTGCAAGGAGATAATGCTGTTTGCATTCATGTGCCTGGTAACACAACTTCCATTCTGCAGCCCAGGGATCAAGGAGTCATTTTGACTTTCAAGTCTTATGAGTTAAGAAATACATTTCAGGCTGGGCGTGGTGGCTCATGTCTGTAATCCCAGCACATGGGGATGCCAAGGTGGGTGGATCACCTGAGGTCAGGAGTTCAAGACCAGCTTGACCAATATGGTGAAACCCCATCTCTACTAACAATACAAAAATTAGACAGGCGTGGTGGTGGGCACCTGCAATTCCAGCTACTCAGGCAACTGAGGCAGGAGAATTGCTTGAATACGGGAGTGGAGGTTGCAGTGAGCTGAGACTACGCCAGTGCACTCTAGCCTGGGAGACAGAGTGAGACTGTCTCAAAAAAAAAAATGGGGGGGAATACATTTCGAAAGGCTATAGTAGCCATAGACAGTGAGTCCTCTGATGGATCTAGGCAAAGTAAATTGAAAACTTTCTGGAAAGGACTCATTCTCCTAGGTGCCATTAGTAACACTAGTTATTTATAGAACAAAGTCCAAATATCAACATTATCAGAAGTTTTGAAGAAGCTAATTTTCAACCCTCGTAGATGAGTGTGAGGGATTGAACACTTTGGTGGAGGGAATAACTGCAGAAGTGGTGGAAATAGCAAGAGAACTGGAATTAGAAGTGGAGCCTGAAGATGGGACTGAATTGCAATCTCATGAGGAAACTTGAATGGACACAGAATTGCTTCTTAAGGATGAGGAAAGAAAGTGGTTTTTTGAGTAGGAATGTACCCCTGGTGAAGATGCTGTAAACATTGTTGAAATGAGAACAAAGGATTGAGAATATTACATACCCTTAGTTGATAAAGAAGCAGCAGAGATAGAGAGGATTAACTGCAATTTTGAAAGAAGTCCTACTGTGGGTAAAAGGATATCAACAGCATCACATGCCACAGGAAATGTCTCATGAAAGGAAGAGTCAGTTGATGCCCCTAACTTCACTGTCTTATTTTAAGAAATTGCCACAGCCACGCCACCCTTCATAACCGCCACCCTGTTCAGTCAGCTGTCATCACCATAGAGGCAGGACCCTTCACCAGTGAGTGATCATGGCTCGTGAAGGCTCAGATGATCCTTAGCATTTTGGGGGCAATAAAGTATTTTTTAGTGAAGATATGCACTTTTTCTAGACATAATGTTCTTGCATACTTAATAGACTACGGTATGGTGTAAACATAACTTTTAGATGCACAAGAAATCCAAAAAAATTATGTGACTTGCTTTGTTGTGATGTTCGCTTTCTTGTGATGTTCTGGAACCAAACCCATCATATCTCTGAGGTTCGTCTGTGTACAGCCGACCTTCAATATTCATGGGCTCCATATCTGTGGCTTCAACTAACCACAAATCAAAAATGTTTGGGAAAAAAAAAACTGAGTCTGTACTGAACATGTACAGATGTGTTTTTGGTCATTATTTCCTAAACTATATGATATGACAACTTTTTACATAGCTCTTACATTGTATTCAATATCATAGATAATCTAGAAATGATTTACAGTATGTGGGAGGATGTTTGTAGGTTATCTGCAAATACTCCATAATGTTCAATAAGGGACTTGAGCATCCGAGGGTTTTGGTATCTGTGGGAGGTCCTGGAACCAGTTCTTCATGGATATTGTGGGACGACTGTGCAATGATATGGACAGGTAATGAAGAGGGAAGTAAAGATTTAGAGACTGAATCACTGATGTTTATTTAGTGTTTTATATACAAGCCCTGTGCATGATGAGTTTCTCCACACGCAACTTCATTTAATTCCCAGGATGGCCATATGAAGGCGGCTTCATCTTCTCTGGTTTGAAAATAAGGAACCAAGCCCAGAACACTTCAGGAACTTGCCCGCATTTGTCCAGTGGATTCAGGAACTAGTTAGACTTTCAACTCCAATTTCCACTCCGCCTTTGGCGTTTTTTCAATTTCACCCAGCTAATTTTAACAATAACCCTTCCCAAAATACATCCACACTTGCCTGGATGCATGCAAAGCCAGTTGAATGTGGAAATACACTTCTTTCTCCGAGGTTTTTGTTGTTTTTTTTCTGTCTGCTTTGGGGCTTCCTCAGGTCTTCCTCTCCCCAGGATGCCTGGGTAGCTTGCTGAAGAGTTACTCATGCTCTGAGCCATTCTGCATCCATGAAGTGGTAGGAAGTGCCAGTGCTTTTTTCTATTTTTACTTTTAGCTAGGACTCTAGTAGAAGATTGATTAGTTTATTTAATAATCCATCCACTACATAATCCATCAATATAACCAAATTGCACATGTAGTCCATAAATTTTTACAAACAAAAAATGTGTAAATAAAATAAAATGTTTCATGAGAAAGTATTTTTTCCTCTCTTGTATCATCTCTTTCCAAATTTCTTGTTTGAAATTCCTCAACAGTGGATATAGGGAAATACCAATATAACTAACTAAATATAATATGTATGCATGCACATAAACATATATATATATATATAATTATGCACTTACATAAATTATATACCTATAATTTCAGAGAATACTTTTTGACTCCTCTCTTTATTCATTGTCTATATCATAAAGTGAATGGGATGTGGTGCTTGACTTTTTGCAAAGATAAATGTTTCCTTTTCGGTTTAATGGTTGTTTCTAAAAGTGAGATGAGATTGATTTGACTTATATGACATCAAGTCCAAACATGGCTATTATTTAATAACCTCCTGTAATTGTGAAAGTTCTCTAGTGAAGGACAAACAGTTAAAACCAGCTTAATGAAAAAAATATTCATTGTAATCAGCCTACTTCATTTTATTTATAAAGAAATATTCCAACTGCAATATATGCATGTAAATCCACACCATATAATGCTTTTAAATGAAAAAAAAAAAAGCTCTGGCAGTTGTTAAAATGGTAAGGAAGACTTTATTGTAGACTACTGCAATGGGAAAAATATCAAACTAAATTCCAAACACACTAAGAACAAGTGGGGATTTACAGTCAAGAAGCAGAGTGTGGGCTCTGGGCATGAAAAATTACCAAGAGGAGGCTTCCAGAATAGGGTGATTCTCCCTACACAGACCTAGCAGAATTGTTGCCAAAACTGGGCTCAGTAAGGACACACAAGAAGGTCCAAGGTCAAAGTCACAATGAGAAGAGAACACAGAGGATCCAGACTAAAGTTTGGTCGAGGAGAGAGCCTTTGTCAATGTACATAAATAAATACTAAAATGTACATAAATACTGCAGTGCACATAAATACTACAGTGTACATAAATACTACATAAACAGTGCAATGTATGTAAATACTACATAAATACTGCAATGTACATAAATACCACATAAATACTGCAATGTGCATAAATACTACATAAATACTGCAATGTACATAAATGCTACAATGTACATAAATACTACATAAATGCTCCATCAATACTACAATGTACTTACTATGTAAATACTACAATGTACATGAATACTGCATCAATACTACCATGTACATAAATACTTCACTGTACATAAATACTACACCATAGCATGGTAAAATTTCCATTCATTTAAAGTTCATCCCCTATATGCAATTACACAATTTACATTTTACTTTTCCCTGCTGTACTGAGAGGTCTTTTTACATTTAGTCAGCTCAAGCTTCTTATCCTAGACTTTTAGCAAGTGTGATAAAAACAAGACCAAAATCCTCAGAAATGTCTCTCCTCAAAGGTCTTTGTCCTGAGTTTCTAGAATGCATTAAGTTATTATGTATCACTAATGTATTCTTGTCAGGGGATGATTTTTGAGACATTTGACATTTAAGATAGATGCTAATGAAAACATAAGTTTATTTTTACCTTTCCTATTAAAAATCCGTTTTGGTAAATGAACATGACCTTTTCTTCTTTTCACAGAAATTCATCCCAATGCCAACCAAGGTGCCACCTGACCACCCAAAATGCTCCTCCTTGCCACCTCATTTTTGTTCACCAGGAGCAGCAGAGACACCCACTGTTGTTGACAGTGGACATACGACTTACATTTTCAGGAATTTAACTCAGGCTGTCCCCAATCCTTGGGAGAACAAAGTCCCTCTTGGTGCATTCATCTTTAATCAGATGGCATAAAATTTTTCTACCTCAATCTGCGCCTCCTCAATTATTTCCAAGTATTTCCACAAGGCACCCACTTCTCCCAAGATATTTTAATGCCGTTCGTGTCGAAATATGGGCAATGGCTCTTGTAGAATCCATGGACACATAGGCCAACTGTCCAGATTCCTGGACTCCATCAGAGACCTGCTGCGTGGCCTCTCAAGGACCAGGGCGTGTTTCTCTCTTGCAGCCCAACCACAGACACTTCCTGAGATGGAGGTATGGCTCATGCAGTGACAGGTCCATCACTGCAGGGTGTGGGAAGTGGGATGCCCGACGACATCACCCCAGTCCCTGCGATCTGCACGTGCTGTCGCCTTGTGTGGCAAAAGGGTCTTTGCAGCTGTCCATAGGACTATGGAACCTGAAAATAGATTGTCTTGGGTTATTCAGGTGGGCCCTATTTAACCACAGGGGCCTTTGAAAGCAGACAGTTTCCCTGGGCCAAAGGCAGGGAAAGGGGCACAGAGAGTCCACATGGGAGAGGCTCTTGACCTGACATTGCAGCAGGGGCCACGTGGAAACTGATGGGGAATGTGGGGGCCTCTAGAGGAAAAGACCAGTCCTGGCTGAGGAAATGGTGCCTGTATCAGAGGACAGGACACACTGGAGAAAGCAGTACCCGGCTGAGGACACGGAGGATACCCAAATCAGAGGATGGGATGGACCAGAGGAGGCAGGGACTCAGTCCCACTGCTACAAGAACTGAATTCAGCCAGCACCCTGGGGAGCGCCTCCTTCCCTGGAGTCTCTGGTAAATAATGCAGCCCTGCAGGAGACTTGAGCTCAGCCCATGAGATCCTGTGCCGAGGACACAGCGGAGCCCACACTGACTTCCAATCTATAGAACAGTGAGAGACGATAAAGCTCTGCGGTTTGAAGCTGACAAGTTGGTGGTGATTGGTTAAGGCAGCAGAAGAAAATGAGATTAAACAGTAACGTTCTATGGACTAATGGTGAGAATCAACCTGCAGAGAGGACTCAGGGGCCCAGGCTCACCTCCTCCCAGTCACCAAGGAGCAGGCACTTAGGTCAAATTCCTTCCCGAGTTAATCCTGGTAAAATGAAGAGGCCACCCCAGGAATACAGCTCTTAACGGGTAGAAGTCAGAGAAAAGAAATCTTCCCATCCGAACAGTCATCCCCACCGTGAGCATGTGCACCCGCAGGACTCCCAGGTTGCAATCCTCTTCTGAAAGTCCCCGAGGGGTTCCGGTCTGTAGTCGGCCCCATCCTCGATTTGGGGCACCTGAGTCGACACTGGGCTTGTGTCTGGAACTGGATTTGTCAAATACTCACCAGCCCTTCCCAGGGACCCTTTTCCTCCAGTCTCTGGCTGGTGTATGAAGTGCCTGAGAAGCAAATGTGGACAGTAGAGCGTGCCTAGCACCAGAGCCCAGATATGACTGATCTCCAGCTTTGATGATGCCAAGAATTCTTGCATTCGTCCTCATGTGCTAGATCTCAACGCCATTCGGAGTGGATCCTGCATCCATGTGAGATGTGGGTGTTGAGCGTGGGCCATCATCCTGGGGCCCACGGTGGCTGTGCTTCCTGAGCCCTATTCCTCTGCCTCGGTCTGGGTGCTTCCCACTTCAGGCTGTGCTGCGGATATCTCCTTGTGCTTCTGCACAAGGCCCCACTAGGTTTTGATGACTTAAGGGAACACAGTATCTTGGATCAATAATAAGACATTCGGGGGTATTTTAAGTCCATCAGATCTTGCTCATGGGTACAGTTCCTGGCGTGAAGCCCAGGACTCTGTGGATGTAACAAGTGTCTCCAGGTGGCTCTGGACAGTGAGGGGATATTTGAGAACCTCTGCCCAAGGGATCCGTGACTACTCCAGGGATCTGTGGCTGTCATGAGCGTCTCCAGGTGGTCCTGGGCCATGGGGGGATCACTGAGGACCACTGCTCAAGGGATCCGTGACTACTCCAGGACTCTGTGTCTGTCATAAGCAACTCCAGGTGGCCCTGAGCAGTGGGGAGATCATTGAGGACCACTGCTCAAGGGATCTGCTCCAGGGATCTGTGGCTGTCACAAGCATCTCCAGGTGGCCCTGGGCCCTGGGGGGATCACTGAGGACTACTGCTCAAGGGATGCTTTCTTATTCCCTCGGCCCCAGCCAGAATATCCCACGCAAGCTGGGTGATTCTGATAAACACAGTTCTCACTCCAGTACAAATGACTGATGACTTGTGAAAACTTGTCACACTCCTGACCTCAGAGAGTGAACAAATGGGCCTTTTCCACAAGAAAGAAAGCAGGGAAAGTGGCAGAGAGAGTCCACGTGGGATAGGCTCATAGCAGAGCCTCAGTGGTCCTGGCCAACCCCTGTCCTGGGCTCCCCCCAGCATCTTCGCTCACTGGCCTGTACCACCTGCTCACAGCCCACATGTTAGCAGAGTCTGATGCACGGGCAGGCAGGAAACACACCACTGGGGCTGAACCCTGTGATTTTATGCTCTGAAGAGCTTGCCTGTGGGAACCAATCCCCTAAAATTGGATGTTTTCTTTTATATTGAAAAACAATAAAAAGGACAGTTAAAAATCAATTGAGTGTTTGACCCACATGTAAATGAAAGAAACTTCAGTTCTGTCCCATGGGAACAGTGCCCCCAGATTAGGGTGGAAATTGCGTTGTCATAACGTTGTCAACAACCTCCTGTGATAACATCTCATTCCAATTCTCCAAAGAGACAACGAGTGTTATTAGTTTGTACTCTTCTGTAGGATTGATCTCAATTTGTTTTTCCCCTTCAGCCTAGATATTATTCCATTTCATGATTTACAGCTCAGAAGCCAAGAGTACTTTAGAGTCTGCAGTTGATAACCAGGGTAAACAATGGATGGGCTGGGCTGCTCAGGGCAGTGGGCACCCTAGCCTGCATGCTATCATGCTGAGTGATGGTGGGATCCAGGAGCTGGGCTGCTAGAACAGGATCCGAATTGCTCAGTCTATAATAATTAGATCTGCACATAGGGTGCAAGTGATGAGAGAGAGAAGAGAGGGGCAAGAGAGAGGAAAGGGAGGAAGAGGAAAAGGGAGAAAGAGAAAGAGAGAGAGAGAGGGAAGGCTCCAGGAGCTGGGATCCTAAAACAGGACCTGTGTTGCTCAGTCTATAATAATTAGATATGCGCATAGGGCATGGAGTGATGTGAGAGAGAGAAGAGAGGGACAAGAGAGAGGAGAGGGAGGAAGAGGAAAAGAGAGACAGAGAAAGAGAGAGGAAGAGGAAGAGAGAAAGAGAAAGAGAGGGAGAGGGAGAGAAATAGGGTCCAGGAGCTGGGATCCTAAAAGGAGGACCTGTGTTCCTCAATTTATAATAATTAGATCTGCATATAAGGGCATGGAGGGATGAGACACAGAAAGGGAGGGAAAGACAAGGGAGGGATGAGAGAGGAGAGAAAAAGAGTGAAAGAAAAAGAGAGAAAGAGAAACAGGGAAAGGGAGATAGAAAGGGGTTAGGGGTCAGGAAGGGAGAGATAGATAAGGACAGGGTGAAGGAAGAAGAAAGCATATTCATTTGAAGTTTTCAAATACTCCAACTAACTTGCCCACTCAACATATGTTGACTGGCAAATTATGAAACCCACCCACACTTTGATTTGCATTTTTTGGATCACAGTGACAAAAGCGAAGTGATTCCCACATCCATTGAAACACACACGTACTGGAAAATGTTCACTTAAGTCTCTCACCCAGAAAGAAACTAAAAGCTGTAGCTGTGAGGTGGGTAACTGGCGTGTGCCGTGTGTGCTGAGGTGACGTTTCTGCATTCATGCAGGGGGCGTCCCCAGTGGGCTGCCCTTTGTGGGGCTGCCAGGATCAGCCTAGAAATGACCAAAGGGCTGTGGGATGTTAGGATCAATGGGAAGTCTTCTGTCCCCTTAGAGCTCAGCGTCCAGGTGAGAAAACAAACCCAGGACAGAACAGGAGGGATTCTGTCAGTCCAGGCTGTGTGAGCTGAAGCCCCTCTCTCATGTTTCTTCTGGGAGAAAGGAGTGGGTTCACAGGAAGTTGTGTTGGATGGCTGATCCCTGTAGACACAGGAGATGCGGTGCTGTGGTGCTGTTAGGCTGGTGAAAAAAGGGGTTCTCTCCCAAAAATGTTTCTAAGGGAGGCCCCCTCTGTGGGTACAACTGTCAAAAGGAACATCTTATTATGTTATTTTACTTTTTGAGATAGAGTCTTGCTCTGTTGCCCAGGCTGGAGTGCAGTGGCATGATCTCAGTTCACTGCAACCTCCACTGCTTGGGTTCAAGCAGTTCTCCTGCCTCAGCCTCCCGAGTAGCTGGGATTAGAGGAGCCTGCCACCACGCCTGGCTAACTTTTGTATTTTTAGTAGAGACGGATTTCACCATATTGGTCAGGCTGGTCTTGAACTCCTGGCCTTGTGATCAGGAGGTCACTATTCCCTCGTGATTGGGAGACCCGCCTTGGCCTCTGAAAGTGCTGGGATTACAGGCATCAGCCACTGTGCCCGGCCAGAACATATTTAATGATAGTATCAAACTTCCTAGTCTGATTGTCTACAGAGGAGCGGAGATCTTCTCAGTGAGGCCCTGCAAGGAATGGTGAGCACGGGTGAGTGGAGCCTGGGTGGGCAGAGCTGTAAGATGGATTCATGTGTTTCTGTTCCAAGTTCATAGTTTTGTGTCCTCTAATTTGTAGCTAAGAACTTTCTTTTTCAAAATACATTTTCTTTAGAAATTGTGGAGTAATTATAAACATAAAAATTTGCACTCTAGGAAAAACATAAATGCTTTTTATTTGGATTTATAGAAGAGTGACCTGTTTCTTAGTAGAGCTGTAAACTGAGGTCTCGATTTGAAATCCTCAGGAGGACAACTACATTTGGAATTCTTAGGAAGACAACTAAATCTTTAACATGTTTAAAGTTGAAAAGTGACCACTCATTGTGAATAAAACAAAGGACCAAGAACACATTACTCAAAAGAAAAAAGGCCACCTCTTTAAAAAAATATACAGACAAAAAAAACCTTGTTTTTACTGCTCTTCTCCATGAGCTGTGTCCAGTTGCTTTGCACACTCTGAGGCAACAGCACTTGCTCCTCCTGGAAGCAGTGATGGGTTAGTGATGGATGAGGTGCATTTTTTCAGGCACAGAATAAGCTTGGGCCATTCCACGCTGAGCAGAGCTATAGCAGTGGAAGGTCACCAGCACTTCCACTAGGGAGGAAAGAGTGTCGAGCCATAACAACCTTTAACTTCGGTTGTTGCTGCAGTCAAGACGGTTAAAAAGGACATTGAAAGAGCCAATGTAACATGCTCCTTATTCATGGACTCGGTCCCCTTCCCCGCCCACACGGTGCTTTCATGTTGGTGCCTCCCATGGGGTGGGGAGAGAGGAGGTAGCAGGACCCAGACAGCAATTAGTCAGGTGCTAAAGTCCAAGCAGCTGTGACATCTCCTTAGAGGGACACTTCTGTTGAACCTTTTTTTTTTTCAGCAAACTTTGAGTGGTTGGGTTTGTTGGCCTTTTTTCTCACCTCTTCTCAGTCTATATTTATGAAATAGAAGTAACTTGAAGACACAGGAGGAAGCTGAGTGTAGGGCCAGGTGCGGGGAGCCCCCTTCAAGCCCTCTGGATCCAGCCCCTGTGGCCTGCCTTTGGTTTATCTGAGGACTCTCGTACTTACAGACATTTTAACAGGTTAAAACCAAACACTGACTCTTTCCTTTCCCAGGAAGGCAAACATAGTAGAAATATGAAATAAGAGCTGTACAAAGGTATTTAATAAACTCTTTCTTTGCGCATGGGGCTAAGGACAAAGTGAAAGTCCCTCACTCTTTAGTTGGATGAAAATTTCATGATGAATGGAACTTCAATGGCATGAAGAAGATGAAATAACAAAGAAATTAAATAATCACTGATCCCAACACAAGTGTGACTCAAACCGAAATATGTTTTGGGGAAACCCTCAACCCACCTGCTGGTCTCAGATGCAGCAGCAGAGGTACCGGATGGAGGAGAGAGGGCCGCCTGACACCACCATCAGCTATGGGGGGCCCCAGCAGCCCCAAGGAGGGGCTCCCCACCTCCTCCCCCGGAGGCTCCTCCCAAGGGCCCATGCTCTTGGTGGCGAGGGAGCAGTGTGGGGGACTTGGACGTTAAGAAGCCTGAGAATTCATAGGCAGAAGCTGCTCAGATGAAAAATTGATGCTGTCAATTTGAGTTTTTTGTTTTCCTTTTAATCTATTGTCCTTTTAAAAATAGCAGTTTTGGTTTTCAGAAAAGTTGAGAGAAATATGTAGAAAGTTCCCATATGAACGCTTCCCAACATTCTCCCCTTACTAACATCTCGCCTCAGTGTGGTACATTTGTTACTATTGATTGGGCAATGATAACACACAATATTGTTCACCAAAGTCCATGGTTCCATTGAGGTTTGCGCCTAGTGTTGTACATTCTATGGGTTTCGGCAGATGGATAACAGGTACCCGCCACTGTGGCATCATACAGAGTCATTTCCCTGCCCTAAAAATCCTCTGCACTCCGCCTGTTCATCCCTCCTCCCCAACTCCTGATCTTTTTACTGTCTCCATAGTTTTGCCTTTTCTAGAACGTCCCCCAGTCAGAATCGTGATGTCTGTAGCCTTTTCAGATTGGATCCTTTCCCTTAGTGATATGCATTTAAGATTTTTCTGTGCCTTTTATTGCTTGATAGCTCATTTTTTAGCACCGAATAACACCGCATTGCCCGGACGCTCCACGGCTTGTCCCTTCACCCACTGAAGGACACCTTGGTTGCTTCCAAGTTTGGGCAATTGTGAATAAAGCTGCTGTAAACAGGCATGTGCAGGTTTCTGTGTGGACATATGTTTGTAACTTATTTGAGTAAATACCAAGGAGAGTGATGGCTGGATCATATGGTACAAGTTTTGCAAAACACAACTTTTCAAAAAGTTTTTAAAGAAACTGCCAATTTGTCTTCCAAAGCAGCAGCCCCATTTTGCATTCTCACTAAGAACGACTGAGAGTTCCTGTTGCTCCACATCCTTGTCAGCATTTGGTGTTGTCAATGTTTTGGATTTGGACCATGCTAGTAGGGATGCAGTGGGATCTCATTGCCATTTAATTTGCATTTCCCTTGATGACATATGATGTGGAGTATCTTTTTGTATGCCTACATGCCATTTATATATATTTTTTGGTACTAGATGTCTGTTCAGATATTTTGCCCATTTTTTAATTGAGTTACTTTGTTTCCTCATGGATAAGTTTTAAGAGTTCTCAGTCATTTGTCAGTTTTTAAATTTGGAAATACTTTCTCCCAGTCTCTGAGTTATCTTTTTGTTCTCTTACTAGTGTCTTTTGCAGAATAAGTTTTTAAATTTGAATAAAGTCTAAGTTATCATTTTTTTCATGGAATATATTTTTAGTGTTGTGTCTAAAAAGTCATTCCCAAATCCAAGGTTACCTAGATCTTCTCTGATGTTATCTTCTAGGAGTTTTAGAGTTTTGTGTTTTACATATAGCTCCATGATCTACTTTGAGTTAATTTTTGTGAAATTACCTATAGTCTGCGTCTAGAATTCATTTCTGCAGGTGGATAGCTATGTGTTCTGGCACCGTTGGTTGAAGACACCATCTGCCCTCCTCTGAATTCCGTTGATCCTTTTTCAGAGTTCAATGGACTATATTTGTGTGGGTCTATTTCTGGGCTCTCTGTTCTGCTCCATTGATCTTTGTGCCCCCTCTCTTGCTAATGCCACCCTGCCTTGATTCCTGTATCTTCATAGTAAGCCTCCATGCTGGATAGTGTCTGTCCTCTGACTTTGCTCTTTCCCTTCAGTATTGTGCTTGTTTTTTCTGGATCTTTTAAATTTATAGATAAACTTTAGAATCAGAATTGTTGTCAATAAAATAACTTGCTGAAATTTTAATTGAGATTGCACCAAATCTATCCATCAATCTGGGAAAAACTGACACCTTGAGAATACTGAATTGCTGCCTATTAAAAAATTTATAAAGAAGCAAATGTAAGGCTTATAACTGAAATTGTATATTTTAGAATTTCAAATTCCCTCCATGAATTCTATACAATTATTTTAAACTTGACTACTTCAGGGTTATTTTAGCTTCTGAAATATATCAAATTAATGTTTGAAGTTAATTCTGAAATCACATGATTTGTACTATCAGTTGATTGTCATTCTTAAGCACCCATTTATTTTTCTGCAGAGAATGTTTGAGATACATACAAGAGGAGCTTTTAATGGGAAAAATTATCAACTGAAACTGTGATTGTCTAAGAAATACCTTTTCATTCCTGGAAAAATATAGCATTGTGTTATATTGAACGAGATTCTGTATTTTCTGTACAGAAGTAAGGTACAGATATTTAACTGTCACTGAGATCACCCCAATGCTAAAGTGTCTTTTATAAAGAAAATAAATAATCCACTTTCAAAATAAAGGGCTGCTGATAACAACAAAATTTTGTTTTAAATCTATTTTCTAAGAGACCTGCATGTACATTATAGCAACAGTTATCTTTTAGTGGAAGTAATTTATGTGTAATTGGAATTTAAAGATGGAATGATCTGGATGATTGTGTTATGTTATGCTGTGGTTACTGAGGTTAGCAGCTTGGGGCATGGAGGTCATGAGACTAAGGTCGTGACCCAGGACCTATGAGGCCGGGGTAGATATACTCAGTGCCTCCAACACAGTCTCTCTCAAGGCATGACCAGCTATCTTGCAAGGTTGATGGTCAGAGGAAAACTGTGGGCGTGCCTGGAGTAATCTTGGCAAACCCTACTGGGCCATGGGAGGGGGGGTGGCAGGTTCAGAGCACAAGACTTTGTGAATTGAAACAGAAGCAGCACTGTATGTAGATAGAATAAAGCATGAATTCTCCAAAGTAAAACTCACATAAACGTGGGATTCAGCGTTCTACCTTATCTTAATATTATTGCATCCTCTTCTTTTTTATTTTTTAAATATGGCTTTTAGAATCATTTTTTAAATTTAAATTTAATTTAATTTTTAATTGGTAGATACTAACTGTTCGTAATATATTTATGGGATAAGATGCGATGTTTCGATGTGTTTACATTGTAGAATAATTAAATCAAGTTATTTAGCAAATTCATCACCGCAAATACTTATCATTTTTTTTGTGGTAAAAACAGTTAACATCTACTGCTTTAGTAATTTTGAAATATACAATGCATTATTATTAATGATAGTCACCATTCTGTGCAATCAATCGCTAAACCTATTCCTCCTGTATAACTGAAACTTTGCACCCTTGGACCAAGGTCTCACCCTGCCCTGCAAACCCCAACCCTGGCCCTGGTCATGGGAATTCTACTCTGCTTCTGTGAGTTCCTCTTTTGTAGGTTCTAAACATAACTGAGATCAGACAACATTTGTCTTTCTGTGCCTGGCTTATTTCTCTTCCTTTTCTTCATTTTATTGTCATCGATTTAGTTAATTTGGTGTTTTCAGACATATCGTGAGATGCCAGTAAGCATTCGTGGCCATTTAAACATTGAATCATTTGCTACATAAAGTCAAAAGATTAATAAGCCTGGCAAGACCAGGCAGAAATAATTCAGTAAAATGTACGGGAGAAGTTTTACTTTTTATTTTCTGTCACATTTAATGTAATCATTCTACATTTTTCCTTTTTATGTCACCAAACTGGTGCATTTTTGATGCTGTGAACTAAAAAAAAAGAAAAATCCGGGCACGGTGACTCATGCCTGTAATCCCAGCACTTTGAAAGGCTGAGGTGGGAGGATTGCTTGAGCCCAGGAGTTCAAGACCAGCCTGGGAAACATGGTGAAATCTGTTTCTACGAACAATACAAAAAAGAAAAAAAATTAGCCGGACATGGTGGCCCATGCCTGTAGTCCCAGTTACTCGGGAGGCTGAGGTAGGAGGATCACTTGAGTCTGGGAGATCGAGGCTGCAGTCAGCTGTGATTGCACCACTACACTCCAGCCTGGCAGACAGTGAGACCCTGTCAAAAAAAAAAAAAAAAGCCATATTGCTACACTGTATTTTTAAGGCTTCAGCTGTCCAAGTTTTTAAAGTGTTGCATGTGTAAAAGCCAGACCATTTTGCAACCTGATCAGTGACAAAAATTAGTATGACTGTGGACTGTGAATCAGAGAAGAGTGTGAGGGGAAAGACAGGGGGCTACACTTAGGGCTTGCTCTTCCCTGTTGCCAATAATGGATGTTCATTTCTCTTGGTGATGTCAGTGGGAAGCTGGAAATGCACTCAAGTCAAACATCATTTTTGTCCAAAAAGTCTGAGTTGAAGAGGATGTTGTTGTAGAAACAAAAGAGAGAGATATATACACCCATACATATCTCTCTCTTTATGCACACGTATGTACACAGATATCAATGTCTATATCTATATCTATGTATATATGATGAACACTGGAAAAACAGACAAGAAGAAACGAAGCACGCAGCTCATGTGAATGTGTCAGCAGCTATCCTGTATCCTGAGCTACCCACTTGTCAACTGAACTGCCCAAAATATTCATGGAAGCTTCGCTTGTCCCAAAGGCCATTATTATTTGTGAGCTAACATGTAAAGTTTGTCATTATAATTTTGACAGCCATTGAAAACAAAACCATCTTAACATCAAATTAATACTTTCACCTGATTCAGGATACCTCCTATAAATATATCAAGGTGCGAACATCTCCAACACCATCATTAAACATGCTAACTCTGTTACCAGGCAACACTTTCCTTAATCTCTTCATTCAAACAGAGGCGAGAATGTCAAGTTTTAGTATCTCATAGAAGTTGACTCAGGGAAAATCACCAGCATCATGCAGGGATTTGCTTAGGACAAGAAGATACATTTTGATTTTCAAGTGAAGGATGTGTTGCTTTAAGTTCTATGACATTTTAAAGCATTTCAGTATTTGGACAGATGCCATTTTAAAATAAATGCGCTTGTGCCCTGAGTCATAATACTCTTTTTTTTTTTTCTTTTTTATTTATCAAGACTGGGTCTGGCTTTGTTGTCCAGGCTGGAGTGTGGTGATGCAATCATGACTCACTGCAGCCTTGAGTAGCTGGGACCACAGGCACACACCACCATGCTCAGCTAATTTTCTATATATATATGTATTTTTTTTTTTTTTTTTGTAGAGATGGGGTTTAGCCATGTTGCCCAGGCTGGTCTCGAACTCCTGAGCTCAAGTGATCCTCCTGCCTTGGCATCCCAAAGTGTTGGAATTACAGACATGAGCCACCATGCCTGGCTGATACTCTTCTATAGATGGCACAGTTGAGATTTTCTTAGGGATTCAAGTGGGAGAAACAGGATGCCTATAAATTTGTATTCTTGCTCTACCACGTTGATTATGCCAATTCCTCAAAATTTTTCCACCTGTGGTGTTGCAAGAAGAGGGAGTAGGAAGAAAGAAGGGAGAAAATCGAAGTGGTGGGAGAGATGTGGAGAGATCTGCGAGCATCTGTTGAAAGGGGTTTCTACAAGGAACTCAAAACAGGCCATTCTTTCCCATTTCTGTCAACATCTTTGTTTCTTATTCATACATAACCCGTCCAACCCAAGTCCTGTGCTCAAGGACTTGTTGTGGGAGAAGGGTGCAGATTACAGACATGGACAGGTGCTTTGCAACCTCCAGCAGCAAGAACTGGGAGTTTCCCCAGTCCTTGAACCTGGGCTTGACTTTGACTTGCCTCTGCCAATTGACTGTGGTGGAGGCTTTGTTGGAGGCTCTGGGTCTTGTTCTCAGGAGGTCTAACGGTTTATTCTGTTGCCCACGGATCTCTGCCAGCCTGTGGGAAAGATGGGACAGCCTTGCTGGGGAGAGAGACACTAGGTGGAGAGGAGCTGCCCAGTCCCTGGTGACATTTCCCTTGGCCGGCTGGGCCCTGACAGACTTTGTAGTGTGACCACAGACACTGTATGATCCCTGTTGAGAAAAACTGTCCAGCTCATCTCAAGCCCAATTGAACACCTGGTTGTTGTTTTAAACCACGAAGTTTGGAAGTGGTTTGTTACTTAGAAGCTTGTGGATGGAAAAATCACTACCTGGAAGAGGAAGGCTGAAAACAACAGCAATAACAACAGAACAAACTAAAACATGTGACGTCGGCTTTGGGATGAGGTAGGGAGCAGAGGCTGGGGAAAAGAACTGAAAAAAGAATGAGCAGGTTTTCAGTGGAGGTTGTTTAGAAAACTACACGAAAAACTGGAAAAATGCTGGCCCATGTTATGTTGAAGCCAGAGAATTAGCACGTCTTCAGCGGTCTCTCGGGTGAGAGAAAATGGGTACTATCAATGTGTGGACCTTGTGGAGGTGATTTCCAGGCAAAACGTTGAAAGTGTAAGTTGGTTCCTTTTTGCTATTTACGAGAGGACATTAAAAAAAGGGAGGTGAACTCAAGAAATGATTGTTCAGCTTGGATGCAGTATTTTGCAGGAACCTACAGTAGGCAGGTCTTGCTAGTTTGAAAAACAAACCTGCTTCTCCTCCATGGGATCCACAGCTGGTAAAAGGCCCTCAATGTGCCATGAGGCCCGGAGCCAAAGGTTACATCTAGGGGGTGGTAGGACTGTTTGTTAGGACTTCTGATATGATTAAAGTGCTACAGAGAGAAGACCCTTCAGCTCTAAGGAAGGGCTAAGAATCAAGGAGTGCTGTCTCTTAGAAGCTTAATCACAAAGTATCTGGAAGCGAGGTTGAGAAAGAAACATGTCTCAAAAACATCTGAGGGTGTGGCTTTGGTTGACCATAGAGGGCTAGCTTGCAATATATGAAAAGCTCATGACACTTTTAAGAGTGCTGTGCAAGAAAATGTCACCTGATGTTGTGCTGGGAGGGCCTGAGGTGGATGAAAGGGCAAAGAGTCCTCCGGTTTTCCACAGGCAGGAAGCAAGGTGAGGGAGGCCCTATCTGCAAAGCCAGAGGTTTCTGTGGAAAAGGAAGAGGGCCTTGGAGGAGGATGATAAGAGCCCAGTGGGTGAAACCAAGAGCTGGAGGGAGCAACAGAGAAGGGAGCCCCTTGCAGGGCACGGCAGGACCGAAGCGCCAGGGCTTCTGAGAGAGGACGGTCTGAAGGGAGGCTCCCGAGGGGCAGAGCTGAGACCTGATGTGGGCACGGCCAGCGCCGCTAACAGGGAAACGGCAGCTGCCTGGGCAGAATCTCAGAGGTGTTTCGGAACAAGAACTACATCACACCTTGCCTTCCTTCACCGTCCCAGTGGCCGCACCTGTCACATGTATGCTGTCCCCAGAACACCAGTGTGTTTTGTGTGTGTGAAAGACAGAAACTGACATTCTAACTCAAAGGTTTCTGCATCACTAGGGGTTGACTTTGAGGAGTCATGTCTGGACACGATGTGAATGAGGAGATGCTGGACTTTGGGCTGAATTCTACGGTAGGATGAGGCATAGGGGGCTGTGGGTAGGGTGATAGCCCTGGGCATGTGGGAGGGGTGCAGCTTAGTCATGCCAGAGAGTGAACTGTTGATAATCGATTGACGCAGTGTGGTCCCACGTGAATCACACCGATCTCAGAGTAACCCACCTGAGGCAGGGCTCAGGCCTTCGGCTTGCTTTGGCTGATGAGACAAGAGCCCTTGTGGTTTCAACCCAGCCGTGCACGGTGCTCGCCCCACAGGGCTTGCTCATGCCTGTGCCGGAGTGCAGCCACCTGGCAGCCTGATTGATTACAAACAACCTGTGGGCTGGGGCCTCCACTGTCCCTGCTGACCGCCAGCCAACGTGCACATGTGTGAGAGAGGCTGTGCAGACTCGTAAATGCTACTTCATTGCCACCAGCAAAATATATCCTGTGTCAGGGACAGAACTCTAGAGTAAAATGGTCTGGGTCACCTCACGATTCCCATTCTTGGGCTATTTTTTTACAGCTTCTTGCTCAGAAATAAATGTGTCATATTTTCAATTTGTAATGTGGTGAGAAATGCGGTTTCTTTTCTTTGATTCTAGAATTTGTTTGGATAAATGTGCCTTTGACGTAGATGATATGCAAGATACAGAATTTGACAAATGTGTATACCAGTTCTCCTTGGGCAGAATTCCCATCGGAGCCTGTGTTCATTGTTTTACTCGTAAGGTTAGGCTCAGCGTTTGTGATGAACAAGTACTTTAATTCTATTCCAGTTCTTACTGATGATGCAATATTTTTCTACCTTTATCTACATGAAGATAAGATCAATATGGTTGAATAAAGTCTGCTGTTTATTGCTGGTATGACCAGTTTATTGCTAGTGTAACTGTAAGTATGAGCAGATATTTACAACTAAGTTTGCTTGTTTGCTTGTTTGTTTGTTTAAGTAGGTCTGACTCCCAGATTCTGCAAACCCTGAATTAAAGCATTGACAATGGGAATCTCACCTGTCTATCAACAACCCCTTCCACATGGACTCACTTTTCCTCAGCCTCTCCGTGGCTTGTCCTTTGAATGCTATCATTCTGGTGTTATTACTGTCATTTTTGAAACAGGGCAGTATATGTTGCTGACATTACTAGCTGTAAGTATCCCTGAAATGTATAATTTTAGATGTTCCCAGGCTACAGTGGCTGACACTGGCTCCCCTCAAGCTGTCAGAGCAGTGGGGTGGCGCCCCTTGTGCCCCTTGGAACAGACGATCCTGGGAGTCTTCTCCACATGAGCTGTGAAAGCTGCACTGCAAGGGATGTGTGTGTTGGTCATATTTGTTTGTGTGTGTGTGTTACCACTTAATACAGAAGCACCATGCATACTGAGAGAAAACAGCCTCTCTCTTATGAATGCATCCCTGTACTTTAAATACTTTAAAAGGCGTGCAAGGGGGCTTTCTACTTCTGCTTCCAGCTATGAAGAAATGACTGCTGCAAGACGAGATCCTCCTGTAACAACCAGGAAAATGGAAAAAAAATTATAAGGAGTGATTGTTTTCAGACTTTGGACAAAGACAGTACCATGCTGTCATCACTTGATGGACGGTATTTATTGCAGAAAAAGGAGGCTAATGAGGTGAGTTCCACATTCATGCTGGTTCTTGGTCTGGGGACAGTTTTCTACCTCAAGGCAAACTCTGGAGCTCAGTGGAGTGCGGTGACCCCACAGAGCGGAGGACGAGGCAGGGCTCAGAGCCTGGCAGCTGTGGGTCTTCTATCTGTGTGGCTCAGCCCAGAGGAGAAGGCACTGTGCAGAGCGGGGCACAGAGTTCCAGGCAGAACGTGTGCAGCAGCAGTGGAAATCACGCGGATTGTTATTTTGAAGGCAAAGTAGTAGAGCCATTTTGGAACATAATTTGGCAGTTTCTTTTCAGCTTAAACATACTTTTACTGTATGGGTCAATTAGTAAATGAAAACAAGAGAAATCAAAATGTACCTTGACAAAAGTCTTGTATCTGTATATTCATAAAAAGCTTTATTTAAATAGTCAACATTTGCAGAGAAACCCAAAGTCCATCAAACCAATAGAGATGAATACATTGTAGTTCTATCTACATAACAGAATACTATTCAGCCAAAAAAAGACACAGACGGCTTATCCATGCAACAACCTGGGAGATTCTCAAAAGCATGATGCTGAGTGAAAGGACAAAACATAAAAGATTACATATTGTATAATTTAGGTCCATAAAGTTTTAAATTTCATACAATGCAACACTATAGTGGTAAAAAGCAAATAAGTCATTGCTTAGACCAGGTAGCATGGGAGAGATTAACTGCAAAGGAGTGGTAGGAAAATTTGGAGGTGACAAACATTTACGGTATGATTGTGTTGCTGATTACAAGGCTGGACATGGTGCCCAACCTCAATTTATAAACTTGAAGAATTTTATTAAAATATATCATGCCTCAATAAAGCTGCTATAAACATGAATAGAAATAGTCTTTGTCAGACAAACAGAAGCTGAGAGAAAATGTTGCCAGCAGCCCTGCACTGCAAGAAATGTTAAAATAAGTTATTTATGCAGAAGAAAAATTACACCAGATGGAAACTTGTATAACAGAAAGAAATGAAGAGCACCAGAAATTGTAAATACAGGCAGACGTATCAAAGACGTATTTTCTCACTTGTTAAACTTTTTAACAGATCTTTGACCCTTTAATAAGAAAAATGACAGAAATGTATTGTTGGATTTATAACAAATCTAGATTTAAAGTGCCTGACAGCAAAACAAAAACCAAATGGTAGTAGGGGAGTGGAACTATGGTGTTTACATGTACCTACACTGCACGTGAAGGTTCGCTGAGATCGGTTACAGTGATATGCTGCAGACCCAAGTGCTACCACTGAAAAATAAAGAGATACACCTGTTACGCCATCTTGGAGGTCAGACTGAATCTTAAAATCCTTCCACTAATTCCTATGCAGATAGGGAAAAATAAGCAATGGTCACGTGAGACAAAAGGGAAGCTCAGAGCAAGATAGTAGATTTAAACTTAGATATTTTTAGAGTACATCCGTTATATAGTAAGCTTACCAATTAGTAGGTGGAGTGCTTTGTCAAGAAAACAAACCACCAAAGATTACTTAAGAAAGGAATATGACGCACTTTGGGAGGCCGAGGCAGGCAGATCATGAGGTCAGGAGTTTGAGACCAGCCTGGCTGACATGGTGAGACCCTATCTGTACTAAAAATACAAAAATTAACTGGGTGTGGTGGTGGGCACCTGTAACCCCAGCTACTCAGGAGGCTGAGGCAGAAGAATCACTTGAACCCAGGAGGTAGAGTTTGCAGTGAGCTGAGATCATGCCATTGCACTCCAGCCTGGGTGACAAGACCAAGACTCCGTCAAAAATAAAAAAGGAGTGTGACTTGTTCTAGATCTAGTAAATAAATAAAATCATAAATTACAGTCATCACTAAAATCATTTTCTTAAAGAATATTCTAGTCCCAGTGGCTTTACTGATGATTAGTGTGAAATAAATAAAGGATATGTAATACCATTTTACATATTCTTTTCCAGAAAATAGAAGACTTAAGAAGTAGTCAATCCATTTAATGAGGCCGGTATTACCCAAAAATCACAAACACATGTAACAATAAAAGCAAAGTTCGTGCCAATATTTTCATGAACATAGATACAATAATCCTTAATAAAAATTTAGATCAGCAAATCCAGCTATATTAAAAATTACACATTATGAGCAAGTTTATCTAAAGAATGTAATTTTAATTTAACATTTGAAAATTCCTCAACCTGTATCTTAACGGACTTTTAAATAAGAGCTGCACGATGTTCTCAATAGATGCAAAAAGGGCACTTGAGAAAATCAAAATTTGTTTAGATGAAACCTACCAACAAACAAGGAAGAGAAGCTTACTTTTTCAATATGATAAGTGACATCCATGAGTTATCTATAGCTAAGATTTGGTAGAGTTAAATTTCTTGCAAGTTATGGTATAGGGCATGAGTGTCCGTTCTCACTACTTTGCTTCAGTATGGGATAAAAGTTTCTAGCCCATGCAATATGGCAAGAAAAATAAATAAAGATCATAAATATTAAAATTTCTGTTTGCATGATGCTTAGTTGGATATGCAAAAAAATGCAATCTACTGGAATTAATGTGAATTTAGCAAAGTTTCAGGATATCAATTTATGATACAAACACCAATTGCATTTTCTCATATTAACAATGAATAATGAAAAATGTCTTTTAGAAAAGCATTTATAGTAGCATAAAGACACTAAATACTTTCAAAACTCTTTAATAACAACTAAAATATATTACACAAAAGACTGCAAAATAAAGCTAAAGGGAAATTTAAAAGATCTTAAAGATTTGAGTGTTATATAATGTTCATGAATTGGAAGACCCAGCATTGCTGTTATTCTCTACCAATTAATCTGCAGGTTTCATGCAATCCAAACAAAAGTCCCAGGATGCTTTATTTTGTAGAAATTGACAAGCAGAGTCTATAATTTTATATGGAAATTCAAAGCACTCAGAATAGCCAAGAGAAGCTTAGGTAAAAATAAAAGAATGGGAGGACTTACTCGGTCTTATTTCATGACTTACCATAAATTTGTAGTCAATAATAGAGTATCTTGTTTGTATACCATTAGAAAATTAGACGAATATAGCAAATGAGGAGTCCAAAAATGTATTCATGCTCATTTGGCCATTTGATTACCAACAAAGGCTCCGCCATAATTTAGTAACAAATGGAAGTTCTCACAATCAATTGTTGCTGAAAAGATATTGATTTCAAATAAAATTAACTTTGACTGCTACCACATAGATAAGTAATTTAAATTGGAATTAAGACATTTAACAGTATAAATATTGTAGAAGACAACACTAAATAGTATTTTCACAGGTTTTAGATTGGCACAAGTTTTTGAATGAACAGCACAGAAGAAAAGCATGCAACATATAGCAAGAAAGATAAATTTAGCTTCATCACAAATGAACATTCCTGCTTATCAAAAGAAACTGTAAGAACTGGAAAGAGAAGCCACAAATATTTTATATATATATATATATCTGTCAAAAGACTTTCATCTATAATATATATAAAGAAATCCCTCAAGAGCAAAACTCCGTCTCAAAATAAAACCAAGAAATCCCTTTAATAAGAATTCCCTTTAATCATAAATTAAAAGATAACCAAATAAATAGAAAATAGAGAAAAGACTTAATTGGTTACCTCCCATAAATAGACACATAAATGGCTAATAAGCAAATAAAAGGTGCTCAACACCATTAGTCATCAGAAAATTGCAAGTTAAAACCACAATGAGATATTCCCATTTTTATACTACAGAGTGACATTAAAATGATTGAAAATACTAATAATAAATCTTGGCAAAAATGTAGATCAACTGGAACTTACAAATATTGCTACCTGAAGAGTAAAATGATACAAATTTGTTGGAAAACTGTCCACAAATTTCTAATAAAGTTAAACATTTATGTTCATGAGACCCACTGAAAAAATATGTCCATTTCTTTTCTACCTGTAAGTAAAAAAAAAAAAAAAAAACTTTACCTTACCAGGTGCCTGCTTACCAGACTACCTACTTACAGGGGGAAAAGAAATGAAAAAAACCTATAATAATTCTCTAGGCATGTTTTTATTAATATCAAAAAACAAAATAAAAATAAAAAAACAAAAACTTGTAAAAAATTTTTTATTTTTATAGGTTTTTGGGGAACAGGTGGTGTTTGGTTACATGAGTAAGTTCTTTAGTGGTGATTTTTGAGATTTTGGTGCACCCGTCACCTGAACAGTATGCACTGAACCCAATTTGTAGTCTTTTATCCCTCACCCCTTTCTCACCCTTTCCCCCCAAGTCCTTAAAATCCATTGTATCATTCTTATGCCTTTGCATATTCATAGTTTAGCTCCTACTCATGAGTGAGAACATACAATATTTGGTTTTCCCTTCCTGAATTACTTTGCTTAGGATAGTATTCTCCAATCCCATCTAGGCTGCTGCGAATGCCATTAATTCATTCCTTTTTATGGCTAAGTAGTATTCCATTGTGTATACATACCACAGTTTCTTTATCCGTTTGTTGATTGATGGGCAATTGGGTTGGTTCCACATTTTTGCAATTGAGAATCGTGCTGCTATAAACATGCGTGTGCAAGTATCTTTTTCAAATAATGACTTCTTTTCCTCTGGGTAGATACCCAGGAGTGGGATTGCTGGATCAAATGGTAGTTCTACTTTTAGTTCTTTAAGGAATCTCCATACTGTTTTCCATAGTGGCTGTGCTACTTTACATTCCCACCAGCAGTGTAGAAGTGTTCCCTTTTCACTGCATCCATGCCAACATCTGTTATTTTCTGATTTTTTGATTATGGCCATCCTTGTGGGAGTAAGGTGGTATCACACTGCAATTTTGATTTGCATTTCCCTGATCATTAGTAATGTTGAGCATTTTTTCATATGTTTGTTGGCCACTTGTATATCTTCTTTTGAGAATTGTCTTTGCATGTCCTTAGCTCACTTTTTGATAAGATTGCTCATCTTTATCTTGCTAATTTGTTTGAGTTTGTTATAGATTCTGTATATTAGTCCTTCATCAGATGTGTAGATTGTGAAGATTTTCTCCCACTCTGTGGGTTGTCTGTTCACTCTTCTGACTATTCCTTTTGCCGTGCAAAAGCTCTTTAGTTTAATTAGGTCCCAACTATTTATCTTTGCTTTTATTGCATTTGCTTTTGGGTGCTTGGTTATGAAATCCTTGCCTAAGCCAATGTCTGGGAGAGAGTTTCCAATGTTATCTTCTAGAATTTTTATAGTTTCAGGTCTCAGATTTAGTTCCTTGAGTTAATTTTTGTATAAGGTAGAGATGAGGATCCAGTTTCATTCCCCTGCATGTGGCTTGCTAATGCAGGAGAATGAATAACCAAATTATGGTCTTATTCATATGATGGGGTACTATCAGCAATAGAGCAGAACAACCTTCTGATACAACACAGAGGACATGAAAAGTGGATGCCAAGCAAAAGAAGTCAGATGGAAAAGAGTCTATCCTGTATTATTTCACTGACTTAAAGTTTTTGAACAGGCAAAACCAATCTTTGAATTGAGTGTGAGAATATATAGATAGAAAGAGGCATGAGAGAAAATGCAATGATGATAAAAATATTCTGAATCTATCAGGCGGTACCTACATTGGTATACACACATGTAGAAATTCATTGAGATGGGTAATTGTGACTTATACTTGTATTATATGTAAATATAAAGCAATAAGCTATCATTTCAATATCTATCAAATATGGTTTCATTTTAATATTTGTGGGGTTTTTTTAGCTAGAATCTTGAGCTATTTACAATCATCCCTAGTGAATAGTTTTGGATAACATGGGATGAAAAGGAGTAAATTTTAGCGCAAAAAGCAATACGACCTTAAAGCTAATTTAATTAATGTCCAAATCTGACCTCTTTTGGTTTTCTATTAGCAAGTTAACTTTTTTTTTTTTCTTTTTTTTTGAGACGGAGTCTCGCTCTGTCGCCCAGGCCAGAGTACAGTAGTGCAATCTCGGCTCACTGCAACCTCCGCCTCCCGGGTTCACGCCATTCTCCTGCCTCAGCCTCCTGACTAGCTGGGACTACAGTCGCCCGCCACCACGCCCAGCTAATTTTTTGTATTTTTAGTAGAGACGGGGTTTCACCGTGTTAGCCAGGATGGTCTTGATCTCCCGACCTTGTGACCTGCCCGCCTCGACCTCCCAAAGTGCTGGGATTACAGGCGTGAGCCACTGCGACTGGCCAGCAAGTTAGCTTCTTACCTTACAAGGCTCAAAACAAACGCCAGAATAGCATAATATGCCCGGGAGGAGGCGGGAAGGGCCTCCCGAGGTCACTAAGTAAGAATGCTCTGGCCTTCAGCTTGTTCATTTCCTGATTGACTACAGGACTGACTTGCAGGCCTAAAATGTTGAAAGATCAAAAACACCAGGGATTGTGAATTAATCTGAGGACAGCATTTTATATTTTATACAATATATTTTTATACAATAAAATAATCTTTATTCAGTTGAATCCATTTCATCAAAATTTATCGATTAAAATCAGTCCTATCAGTAGCTCACTTTTTTCTTTGGTGGATGGTTTACTAGGAAGGCATCGAATAGAGGATAATGGGGTGTCCTTTTCTTGTATTTTCCCTGCTGCCATTGGCTGGCTGTGTGCCTGGGTTTACATCTAACCAGCCCACCTCAGGATCTTTCCATATTGACCTTTCCATAGCCAGTAATCGACCTTCCCTTTGGTGTTGGATACAGCATTTATTCTAGTACATCTTTTATTGTAATTGCTCATTAGATGATATTTTCCCTGTTGAGGATTAAGTTTTGTCCCAGAATGACTTACTCTCTCCCCAAAGAACTGACAAAAGAGGTGAAACAATCACGCAGATGAACAGTCATTTGACAGCTTTTCCTCGGACAGCTCCCCAATCCTCCCTTGCCCACCCAGGAGGGGCTGTGGTTCTCCTGGTCCTCCTCAGCGCAGCTCTCAGCCTGCTCACTGTCCCTCAGTGGATTCTGCTCCTCTTCCTCTATTCTCAGGTTGTGGGATTTTAATGTTTGTATGACAGTGGGCTGAATGATAGATATTCTCTGCAAAATCTTATCTTTTTCTACATTTTTTCCGTCTCTTAAAAAGATAATATTTTCCTCCACATTTTATATGTTTCTCAAAATATTTGCCGTTTCAAAAATTTATCATATAATCTCAGGGGAAAGATAGGGGATAAAGCATAATATTTACTGTACCAGACACATCCACCTCCAGTTAGAGCTCCATGACTACCTCTGCTTCTGCTCCTCGACCTTTGCCATCAGATTTTCCCAACAACCCATTCAAGGATACTGTTTCCTCTCATTTTCTTCCTTCCTTCCTTCCTTTCTTCCTTCCTTCCTTCCTTCTTCCTTCCTTCCTTCCTTCCTGTTGTACTTCCCTTTCTATTCTTAAACTTCCCATCTGTTTATATTTATTGTGCAGTTCTTTTATTCATTTACTAAAATAATTTTCCATAGATTTTTGTTGTTATTGATTTAAGTCCCAATCTAGAATTCCTGCATTTGCCTGTCTCTGGGTTTTGCTCAGTCCTGTCTTGGTAGATGTCAAATTTCCTTGCTTCTTCAAGTATCAACTAATTTTTTTATTGGATTTCAGGTATATTGTGTAAAACGTCCAGAAGATAATTAGATGCATCATTTTTACACCCAGAAAGCTCCATGCCTCTTGTGTCAGGAGGCCAATTTGGGTCTTGGGTCAATCTACTCTGTGGCTGAGTTCAATCTGGGATTTATTTTTCCTAACTAGAGTCAATTCGCTCTGAGGTGCTAATAATTTGAGAGCAGTGTGAGAAGAGTTTTTGAGGAGGTGAGTGCCTAGGAGTCTTTGTTCTTCTCAATGTCTTAGTCTTTCCCCCAGACTTGAGCAGGACCAGCCCTGGGGTTCTCTGCTCCCCTGCTCCGCCTGAAGCTTTTTATGAGCATAAAGGTGAGACCCATCGGTAAGGACAGGCAGGTGAAAGCCAACCCTTCATGGGGTTCCTCGCGGCTTTCACCCACCATTCCAGTGGGTACTTGGCCCTAAAGTCCATGGAAATTCAGCTGCCATGTTCTTACCTGCCCCTTCCTCCACGGAGGGCAGCTCCCTCCCTGATCTGTGATTCCAGTGAAGATAAAAGTCACTGAGCATCTCCTCTTCCAAGGAGGAGACTCATCTTCCCGGCCCACTGGGTTTCTCTGCCTCCTCCACTCTCGGATGGGCATCGAGGCCTTCTCACTCTGGAGAGTCTTTGAGTGGTGTCTGTTGTCATGGCAATGTGATGCTTTATTTCAACTTTCTGTGTCTTGAGCAGAAATAAAGAATTTAATACATTTGTAAAGAATTATCAAACAAAAAGGAAATAACCAATAACAACTAGCCACATGTCTACCAATATGTCACTGTCAAGTACCCCTCTTGAGTTTTAAATAGCAGGTAAGTGTAGAAACTTTTTTTTTGAGATGGAGTCTCACTCTGTCACCCAGGCTGGAGTGCAGTGGCACAATCTGGGCTCACTGCAACCTCTGCCTCCTGAGTTCAAGAGATTCTCCTGCCTCAGCCTCCCAAGTAGCTGGGATTACAGGCATGTGCCACCACACCCAGCTAATTTTTGTATTTTTGTAGAGACGGGTTTCACCATGTTGGCCAGGCTGGTCTTGAACTCCTGACCTCAGGCGATCCACCCACCTCAACCTCCCAAAGTGCTGGGATTACAGGAGTGAGCCAGAGTGCCCAGCTAGAACTTACATCGAAGAGCAGCTGGCCTGTCCCTGGCACCTGCTCTCTGATCGCTACTCTTCGACCTCTCTCTTCTTGCATTTTGGTCACCACCATAGGGACGAGCCCATCTCTTGGTTTCAGGGTGCTCTGCAGCTTATTGCAGTCTTAGGTGGAATGCCACATTTGAGTATGACATGAGTTGCTATCTCACCCTCCTCTTGAACTCCGCCTCCCCACATTTCTCCAGAAAAGTAGATCCACACACGCAGGGTTTTTGGATAGAATATCAACATTACCTGAGGACCAGAGCAGGCGCTTTATAAAGGATGCTGCACAGGCAACGGAGGCTCCTTCAGGCGTGCTGCTGTCCTTGGAGGACTTGCTTTGCCCATCACTGGCCTCCTGTCCCCATGTGCAGCACTCAGCTTCATTGCCAACACTCTCCCTCCTGTGAATTTCCCCCAAGAATTCTCTATTCTAATCCATTAATTATGCAGAATTGCTTCTTTCTGTTCTATGAAATATAGCTGTAGCCTAAACAAAATATCTCTCCAACACAGAAATGACCTTACCAGAGGCTTAGAAAGTAAGACTACCTCGAAGTTGTTACATTTAAAATGTACTAGTGTTGCTTTCATTAATATACTTATGCTTTTTGATCTATTTTCTCATATCTCTATGTACACATGTCCTCAATGCAGGATATTCAGACATGATGATGATGTTTGTGGATATAGAATAGATTAGAATGCCTTACAAATCTTTTTAAAATTGTTGTTTGTATAATTTTAGGGGGTACAGGTACAATTTTGTTGCAAGCACAGATTGCATAGTGGTGATGTCAGGGTGTTTACGATATCCATCATCCAAATAACATATATTGTACCTATTAAGTCATTTCTCTTGGAATTCTCACTGAACCACAACTATACTGGATGGTTATGAAAGGCCGCCCCCAGTGGCTAGATAATGTTGAGAGAATCACACCAAATATCAAAAGAATTAGAACTCTTTTATGTTAAAAGTTAATCTAAATGTAGCATTCTACTCCCTGTTTTAAACTTAATTTTACATGAAATGTTAATTTTATATATATATGTGTATATATACACATATATGTATGTGTGTATGCATGTGTATCCCATTTATGCATACAATATGTGTTGTCCTGTGGGCTCCAGAATCTTCTGAAACATAATTGCATATATTTACAATTTTCGGAGAAACACAGGGACATGTTTTTCACGTCTTCCCTGACTTACCGCGTTGCATGTAACGATTCAAGACTGCAGCCTACAGTGCCTCTCCTCCACATTCCTCTGGAATTTTGTATTTTATTAAATCCTACCCTTGAACACTCAGCAAGTGGCCCCCTTACCAATGTTTTGCCCATCCTATCCAGAGATCACAGATGGAGATTTCAATCCAGGTCTTATTTTCGCTGTGCTTGCCGTGTTTAGTGCCCTCCCTAAGCGGCTGCCAGCGAGGCACCTGGCCCAGCTGAGATGGATGTCCTCTCCCCAGCACGAGGTTGCATGGGACGCCTCTGCCCACCTGACCTCAGACTAATTGTACAATTAGTGCTGTAATATAAAGTCTCTGAGTGAACACAAGTTCCCTCTTGCCATGATTAACTCCTGGGCTCCGAGGCAGCAGGAACCATTCACAAAGTGCAAACTAATTAATGTTGGAGGACACAAGTGAGGACAAGGGAGGTCATGGAGCTGGAGGCTCGCGACAGAGCCGATGGCAACAGAAATCAAAGTGCAGCTACAGCAGTCGCAATGGAAATTTTTTCAAACTGAATTTTATTATTTTCTCTTCATTTCTCTTATTATTTTCTCTTGACTTTGCATACAGGAGGCTGGGGGATATAGAAAAGAAAGACATTGTTATAATGATGCAGCTCTGAACAGCTTATCTGCTGTATGTTTCAATATACTTAATAAAAATTAATACTTAATTTAATTAATAATATTAAAAAATAAGCATTTTGAAACATACAGCAGATAAGCTGTTCAGAGGGCCACAGCCTCAATGGCTGGAGGAATCCTGTGACCGGGAAAGTCTATGTTTTCACCAATCTTCGTTAGCCAGTCGTAGGAAGCACGGCTGATATGGGCTTGGGGATTAAAAGTTACTGTTCTGGCCATGTTGCCATCAACTCCCAATATATGACACATGGGAAGATTAAAACATAAACACAAGCAGCAAAAGTGAAATAAAAATACCAGTAAAAAACAATGATGCTTTTCCTATAGTTTATGAAACTGAGTGAAGACAAAGATCTCTCTAGAATCAAAAAGTGGTACCTTAAAATTCTCCTATTTAATCCTACCATAGGCAAATCTGAAAAAAAAATTGCTCCTTGATCTTTGTGACTTTTTACTGATAAGAATTATTGCTAAGTGGCAAAAATCAAAAACAAACAAAAAATCACCATAGTATACGCCATAGTATACACCGTAGTATACACTGTAGTATACACCATAGTATACACCACAATATACACCACAGTATACACCATAGTATACACCGTAGTACACACCCTAGAATACACCATAGTATACACTGTAGTATATACACCACAGTATACATCATAGTATATACCATGGTATTCACCATAGTGTACACCATAGTATACACAGTATACACTGTAGTACACACCATAGTACACACCATAGTATGCAACACAGTATACATCACAGTATACACCATAGTATACACCATAGTACACACCATAGTATACACAGTAGTATACACCATAGTATACACCATAGTATACACCATAGTATGCACCGTAGTAGACAACATAGTACACACCATAGTATACACCACAATATACACCACAGTATACACCATAGTTTACACCATACTATACACCATAGTATATACCATAGCATCCACCATAGTATCCACCATCCTTAGCAGGATGTGTTCCAGAAATTTAAAAATCCATCCTGACATTTTGGTGGAAATCTGTAAGGTGATCTATATTAGGGATAAATCCTAATGATTTGACAGACCAGCTAGAGGAACTTACAGGACACATGGAATGTAATGACCCATGCAGTGGTGAGTGTGACAGTGAAGAATATGAGGATGAAAATCATCCCCACCCCAGGTTGTTGGAGACACTGATCCAAACCGGTGGTGATCGTGATGCATTCGAAGGCTTGCTAGTAAGTCAATGCCTTTGAACCCGGGCATGAGATATCCAGTGATCGAATACTATGTTTTGGATAACAGTTGAATATTTGACATCCAAATTAAATCCACTTTGAGCACGTAAGACTCTCGTGAAGTAGCCAAAGGCAGCACTTGAACCGTTTATAGCACACACACATTAATTTAATCCGTTCTGCAGATCGTAAGGCTCATTAGTATATTACAGGATCCTGGAATCCCTGGGGTGAAGAAATCTCTCATACCTTGTTAAATCCAAAGCTTCCTGCTTTTTTTTTCAATCCACAGGACCCCATTTCAAACGGCATTTTAAAATGGAAAACACTTTAAGGTATGCTGGTTTATGGTGTGCTTATTTACGGGAAAAAAATGCAGCCCTTCAAACAGGGCCAAGGAGTGGCAATGAGTGGTTTTCTCCTCGCAGTATTCTCAAGTTTGGGTTAAGCTGTACTAAGTGAGTTGGACTCTGTCAAGGATTCAGTAAATTCTGCAAGGACATTTTAAAAAAGATTATTCATATGAACCCTCCTCCACTCTAACTTTCCCATGAGAAAGACTAATTCGAAAGGTCAGCTGAGCGCCCCTTCTTATGATAGAACAGACATCTGCAAAGTGGTCACTGACTGTCCCTGGCTCCTGTCCACTCCAGGGCAGAGCAGCTGGACGGAAGTGTGCAGTCTTGGGCAGCAATTTGTTTGTAATCTTTCGATTTATTTGTAATCTTTGGATCATTGTGAGTGCATTAAAAGGCAGCTCAGGGGGTCACAGCCAGATTCAGACATGTGTCTGCTTTACCAACCTTGGGTGGGAAATAAAAGCAGCGCTTTGCTAAATTAAGTTGTAAATGATTCACTGATCCAAAGAGATTATTGTGACAGTCAGACTAAATTTTCCTTCTGGGGAATAAAAACTGACATTGAACAACTTTCCGATGCAGCAGGGAAAATAATCCTGTTCCTACAAGTCCTAAAGTGATAAACTGGGAAGTGTTTTCAAATTTCAGTGTTGTTATTTCGTTGTACCTATATTTTGATTTATTTTTCTTTTAGCTTTTCCTATTTGTAATAATCCCATTTACCTAGCTCAATATGCCCTCAGAGCCCATAAAAACACCCTATGCATTTCATCTGTATTTTAGTTGATAAATTACATATACCTAATGTATCAACTAAAATTAGAATGCATGCACGTAGAAGTATATCTATACGTGTATATACACGTGTGTAAATATGTGTATATATACACACATATAGATACATGTGCATAGATTCTAATATATTGTCTATAATTGTCTATAATTCTTTTGTATTTATATTAAAAGATTGGAGCAAACCTGATTTTATGATTGTCTCAGTTTTTACTTTTTTATTTACTTTCCATTCCATGTGCTGATATCATTTCCCGCCGCCTCAGCACAGTTACATCAATGCAGCCTGCAAGAAGACACACTCCAGGGGTCAGATCATTAGAGGGGCTTTAATCTTGTAGAACAATGTTTCAATACTGTTTACACCAGGGGCTTTCTTGTACAAACCGTCTTTACACAAGACAAGAATAACATAGGAAAGAACTATTTGTCTCTGATCTGTGCAAAGAAGGAGAGCAAACGGGAATCCTCAGGGGCTTTTTCGTCTTTTAAACCTACCAGGAGGAGATTAATCAAAGGTATCTATGCTGTCTGATGTACAATCAGTTACATAGCCGCAGTGCCATTGATCAAGTTATGGTGGAATAACGGAATCCCAGCATCCGAAGCAGCGACATGGTGGGGGCAGAAACCAGCCCCAGCACCGCACGCTGTTCACAGAGCAACATCGGTGAGGAAGCGTGAGTTCACGTGAGTTCACTGCTTCTTCCAGGAAGTCTCCGTTGCCGGCCTTTTATCTATGCAGAGTCTCAGTCTTTTTTTTTTTTTTTTTTTTTTTTTTTGAGACTGAGTCTCGCTCTGTCTCCCAGGTTGGAGTGCAGTGGCGCGATCTCGGCTCACTGCAACCTCCGCATCCCGGGTTCAAGCCATTCTCCTGCCTCAGCCTCTGAGTAGCTGGGAGTACAGGTGCCCACCACCACGCCCGGCTAATTTTTTGTATTTTTAGTAGAGATGGGGTTTCTCAGTCTCATCAGCATTGGTTTGCTTATGATTTAATCCATGTTTTATTGTACATTTCACACATACCAAGCGCTTTTTTATTTAATTAAATGTGATCTTATTTAATACTCACCATGATGAGTGAAATAAGCCTGAGAGTATTTAAAGAGTATTGTGAGCTCTTGCCCTGTCCCAGGCCCCTGTAATAGACATGTCAAAATAGAAGATACTGTATTGTAGGTACTTCCTTCAGCTCTCATAGTAATCAAAGTTCAAGATGTCTTTCTACATAATTCAGTCTATTAAACATGCAGCAAACATTCCGTGGGTAGGGGGCTTAGGAAATGATAGAGATCAACAGTCAGGCTATCCTACTAACTAGTTTGCGTAAGTTTCTTTTGTATTTCTGGTGTCTGCTCCTTCAATTAAAATGTGTTTGTCTTTATGGTTGTGTACCTCCTTATTTTTGGTTCTGTTGTTCTCACTTAAAGATATAGTCACATTTTTTTTTGAGATAAATGTGAAACATAAGAACTCTATTTTTTTTTTTTCAGACACCGTCTGGCTCTCTCACTGAAGCTGGAGTGGCGCGATCTTGGCTCACTGCAACCTCCGCCTCCTGGGTTCAAGCAATTTTTCTGCCTCAGCCTACAGAGTAGCTGGGACTACAGGTGCGTGCCACTACCTCTGGCTAATTTTCGTATTCTCAGTAGAGATGGGGTTTCACCATATTGGCCAGGCTGATCTCGAATTGCTGACATCATGATCCACCAGCCTTGGCCTCCCAAAGTGCTGGGATTACATATCAACTCTATTTTTATGAAAAATAATTGTTCTTGAGATGGTTTCACCCTCTGTCAGTGCAGTGGTGCAATCACAGCTCACTGCAGCCTTGACCTCTCAAGCCCAAGTGATTCTCCTGCCTCAGCCTCTCAAGTAGCTGGGACCACAGGCACACACCACCACACCCAGCTAATTAATTTTTAAATTTAATTATATTTTCTTGTAGAGGCAGGGCCTCATTATGTTACCCAGGCTGGTCTGGAACTCCTGGGCTCAAGGAATCCTCTCAGTTTGGCCTTGCAAAGTTCTGGGATTACAGGCATGAGCCACTGCACCCAGCCTGAAAAGTAATTTCTATATTTAAAAAACATGCAATATCAAATTGAGAGTAATGCATTTTAAATTAGATGCCTTGGATTAGCTGCAAAGGGAATGCATATATCTTATTGGGATTTTTTTTTAATGAAGAGAGAGTAGTTGAGAGAGTGAAAACACATTTCCTGGATTTAATGAAAGAAGAAAAAAACCCCAAAAATAATAATAATAAAAAAAAGTAAGTAGATCTAATTAAAAAAAACCCAGGCCAGGCATGGTGGCTCATGCCTGTAATCCCAGCACTTTGGGAGGCTGAGGCGGGTGGATCACCTGAGGTTGGGAGTAGAGACAGGTCTCTACTAAATATATGAAAAATTAGCTGGGTGTGGTGGTGCATGCCTGTGATCTCAGCTACTCAGGAGGCTGAGGCAGGAGAATTGCTTGAACCCGGGAGGCAGAGGTTATGGTGAGCCGAGATCACACCACTGCACTCCAGCCTGGGTGACAAGAGCGAAACTCTATCTCAAAAACAAACAAACAAACAAAACAAACAAACAAAAAATCCCCGAAGAACAAAAAGTAACAGAGGGTGATCAAGTAATGTCTCAGAGGAATTTGAACCAGAGAAAGTAAAACATGACTTTAATCAGGCAGAAAAACAAAGCAAACAAATAAAGTTATGTCTTAGATATTGAGGCTTTGGTGAGTTGAAGAACAGGTGGGGCTCGTGAACAGTAGCAGACTCAAGGGATGACAAGCACATAAAATAACCCATGGTAGCTGAAGAAGTGGAAACCGCTCAGAGCATCCTAGAATATTTGATGCATTTTTTTCTGGCATTACTGCAGAATACATCCCAATAAGGAAGTATTCAAAGAAAACAAATTTGTAGTATGGTCAACTGTGATACAAATGGATTTTGCCAAAACATGGTCAGTGTGTTTGAAGTTTCTTGCAAGAGAAAAATATAAGAGGCAAAGCCACCCAAAATATTTCTGGTCAGCAGGTGAGTTATGTGGTCCACTGACATGCAGGGAACTCGGGAAACCCTGAAGGATCTCCTGGGATTATGCAGAGGAGAAATGGGGAGAGAAGCTCAGCCAAGACACTCTGCTGGTTAACTTCTGGGTGTGCACGCAAGGGAGGAAGCACAGCTAGCATTTAATCCAGTCTCAAATGAGGCCAAAGGCAGAGGGGAAGGAAGGAAAGTCCAGAAACCAGGGCAGAAGAGTCAGGGTCTCAATACAATGGTTAGAAATGGCAGATCAATAACAGCCATGACTGTGGAGTCCTAATAAGGGAACAGGAGCCAGGCTGGGGGGAGATGGGGAAAGCAAAAAGCAGAAGCAGATATGCTGTAAGCCTGCCTTTCTTCACGGTGCAGGACACACAGCCCTCCTGTGCAAATAACTCACAATCTTCCTGGGCCCAGCTATCCCCAGACCCTGTGCTGATAGAAAAATGCCAGTTAGCTCACTGCAACCTTGGTGTTATTAGTACTGCAAGTGGCTCTCTCCAGCACAAGCACCTTCCTATAAAATCCCCAGCAAGTCTCTGTCCCCTTGCAGCCAGCTCCTCTCTTGCCGACTTGCCCATTGCTTTCTTGCAACGTATTTTCCTACTTTCTCTAATAAATCTGTATTTCTTTACCTACAACTGTCTTGCTAAGTTCTTTTTACTGCCTGAGTCACACTGATCCCAGATAGTCACTACTCATGACAATGCCCCTTATTAATAAGCATATGGAGTTTAAAACTGATTGATTCCATATATTCATTCAAATATATTACAAATACATTCAAATATATTATAAATGCACATGATTTGCATATGGTTATTCATACAATTCTGTATTATATAAACTGTTTTATAATATTTTTTCCTCTTCATATTATATTGTGACAGCATCCTATAATGTCTGAATTATTTCTAAAATGCATTTTTATAGCTACATAATATTCCACTGTGTGGAGGTAATAATGATTTAATTGATATAAATTATTAAATACTGAAAGATTTTTAAAAATATATTTTCTTATTTATAAAAATGTTGCTATACATGATTGTTTGCTTTGGATAACAGACTTGAAAGAAAATGAGCAGTCTGAAAGAAATGATATTTAAAATTTTTGATCCATATTATAAATAATTATTTAAAAATATTTGACCCATTTATAATTAAACCAGAAATATTTTCTTACATCCTCATTTTATGATTAATACAGATTCTATTACAACAATGTTAAGTTTACAGCAAAATGTAGTGGGAAGTACAGAGTGTTCGTGTATACCCCTTCCTAACACAAGGCAAAAGCGACCTCATTAACAGCATCTCCCCCATGGGTTGCTGTGCATGCTACAATTTTGTTATTCCACCATAGCTTGATCAATAGCAGTGCAACTCTGTAACTGATTGTACACCAGGCAGCATAGACATCTTAACAGTACATTTGTTACAATTGATGAAACTACACTGATACATAATTATCATGCAAAACCCATAGTTTATGCTGGGATTTCCTCCTGGTGTTATAAATTACATGCGTTTAGACAAATGTGTAATGACATGTGTCCACTATTACAGTGTCTTACGGGGTAGTTTCACTGCCCTAAGCATCCCCTATGCCCTGTTCCTCCCTCCCTTCCTCAACCACTGATCTTTTCACCATCTCCATTGTTTTTCGTTTTTCAGAATGTCACATAGATGGGTTTATACAGGATGTAGCTTTTTCAGATTGACTTCTTTCTCTTAGTAACATACATTTAAGTTTCTTCCATGTCTTTTCATGACTTCATAGTTCATTTATTTTAAGTGTTGAATGACATTCCACTCTCTGGATGGAGCACAGTTGATTTATCCATTCACTCACTGAAGGGCATCTTAGTTTCTTCCAAGGTTTGGCAATTATGAATAAAGCTGTTATATACTTCTGTATGCAGGCTTTTGTGTAGACAAAAGTTTTTAACTCTTTTGAATAAATAGCAAGAAACACAATTGCTGAATTCCATGGTCAGAGTATGTTTAGTTTTTAAAGAAACTGTCAAACTGTCTTCCACAGTGGAGCACCATTTTGCATTTTGCACCATTTCCACCAGCAATGAATGAGAATTCCTGTTGCTCCACATCCTCACCAGCATTTGGTGGTGTCAGCGTTTTGCATTTTGTTCATGCTAATAGGTATATAGTAGCAGTTCACTGTGAACTTGCCAATTCCTAGTAACATAGGGTTTTTCAATTTTTTCATGGACCTATTTTTCATCTTTATATCTTCTTTGGTGAAGTGTCTGTTCATATCTTTTGCCCATTTCTTAACTGGATTGTTTGTTTTCTTATTGTTGAATTTTAAGGTCTTTGTATATTTTGAATACCAATCCTTCATGAGATATGTCTCTTGAAAATATTTTTTTCTCAGTCTGTGGCTTATTTTTTCATTACCTTAACAGTATCTTTTGCAGAACAGAAATTTTTTATTTTAACCAAGTCCAGCTTACTATTTTTTTTCATGGGTCATACTTTCAGTGTTGTATCTAAAAAGTCATTGCTAAATCCAGGGTCACCTAGATTTTCATATGTTATCTTCTTGGGGATTCATACTTTTGCATTTTACACTCAGTTCTAGTATCCATTCTGAGTTAATTTTTGCGAACGTATATAAGGTCAATGTTACAGTTCATTTTTTTTTTTGGCATGTGGATGTCCAGTTGTTCCAGCACCATTTGTCAAAAAGATTCTTTTCTCCAATGAGTTGCCTTTGCTTCTTTGTCAATGATCAGGTGACTAAATTCATGTGATCCCATTTCTGGGGTCTCTATCCTACCGCACTGATCTATTTGTCTAGTCTTTACCAGCACTGCATGGTCTAGATTAATATATCCTTATAAAAAGTCTCAAAGTTGAGTAATACTAGTTCTGTGTTTTCCTACCCATACATACCTATGATGATGTTCATTTTATGAATTAAGCACAGTAAGAAATTAACAAGAATAACTAATAATAAAACATAACAATCATAGCAATATACTGAATATACTGTTACAAAAGTGATATGAAGGTGTTCTCTCTCTTTCTCAAAATATCTTCCTGTACTGTACTCACCTATTTTAGAACCACAGTTGACCACTGGTAACTGAACCTGTGGAAAACTAACATGCAGTTGGGGGGACTTCTGTTCTGCATGGAATTCTCTATCAAACTCCTATTTTAACTGACTTTCATACACAGGTGGAATGCTTGCTTTTTCAGATATTCTGGCATAGGAGAAGGCTGATAAAAGTTGATTTTGGTGGAAATAGTTCCCCATTATCTCTCCAGGCTCTGCTCAAAGGAAACCATGCCTCTGTTAGCTGCATGGGCTAGAGATGGCAAGACAGCAAGACGAGATTTTCCTAGAGAAATCTTTCCTAGTTGATAGAGGATAGCATTGACCCTTAAGTATGGTCCCTGGGTAGCTCTTATTCTTCTTCTATTTTCTCCCGATTCTAAACAATGTCTCTGAATTTCAAGTAGAAAATCTGAAATCATCATTCACACAATAATGCTGAATTAATTAAAGCTGTGTGTAAAAAATGGGTATGTGTTGGGATTTATGATTTGAAATTTTGAAGTTGATGACTATTTACTGGATCGATGATTGACAATTCCTTCTGTTATTGGCATCTGTGGTCCATGAGCACTAGGGTGAAAATCCCATGCCTCTTGAGAAAATCAATCCAAACAATTTCTTTTGTGTATGTTAACATTTTGGAAATGATTCAACCACTTGAGCCACTTAAGCGTCTCTTGAATCAGAAAGCATCTTTTGGGGATAGAAGAAGGACTCTCTGTACTGGAGGGAAACATGGCACTCCAGGTGGCCCCAAAATCCTTGCTTCCTCAGGTGTCAACATGTCTAGTGATGCATTGCAAACAAGCCTTCATGGATATTTCTCCTCCAGTCAACTTCTCGTTCCAAACTCATTCTACATACACTTCGAAGGGTGAGCTAATGCCATTCCTACTCAGTTCCTCTACTCCACACTGTATAATTCAAAAATAATAACCCAAGATGATCTGTTTTCAACAGAAGGTTTCAGAGACAGGCCAGTATACTTTTATCCACAATCATGACACTCCATCTAAATCTTATGACCATGGCCAGAAGGCAGAGAAATAAGCCTACCATTGATATCCATACTGTAGACACACAAAAAGGGAAGGAGGAAGCTGAAGTACTAAAGAATATGGGTGCATACACACACACACACAGGCACACACACAGGCACATGCACACAGGCACACAGGCATGTGCACATGCACATACACACATGCACACACGGACACACACACGTGCACACACGCATGCACAGGTGCACACACATACAGAGGAACTAATTCAAAAACAGAGCGATCATCCATTCAAATCTGCACACCTGCAATTTCCTCCAAATGATTCTTTTCCTAAGCAACAACTTGTGGATAATGAATCATTTTTAAAATCACAGAGCTTTGTTTTTGGGGTGCAGACACTTTGCACAGATAGTAAACACAGTTAAATCATGCAAAAAAAAGTTTACTCTGAAGGTGTCAATTTGAATGCAATTATAGTCCATTCACAAGAAACAGCAAAGAGATGCAGAGCTCAACCCCCCCCGACCTTTGGATAGAAAAATTGCATAATGATGATGAAGACTCTGATTGGATTTATTTTTTATTTTGTAGGAGGCTGAAGAAGCTGAAGGCGATGTCTGTACAGCTACTTATTTATTTGATGCTTACTTAATTTGTACTTATTTTACATGGGGTAGCAAAAATTATGCTGCAATGCCATTGTGAGTGCCCCATTCACACAGGTAGTGTCTATAGAAAAACGCTAAGGATAAAATCAGTGAATCAAAGTTGTTGGCATATATGCATTTCTAGATATTGTCAAATTACTTCCCAATGGATTCTTCTGACATCCTTTATGGACAATATATGAAACAATCTGTTTTTCTCTGCCTATGTTAGATATCTCTATTTATCAATCTATTGATCTATCAACCTATTGAGCTACTCATCTATCTGTCTGTCTATCTATCTATCTATCTATCTATCTATCTATCTATCTATCTGCCTATATGTCTGTCTGTCATCATCTTTATCACTCAAATAGGTGAAAAATTGTGTCTCTATTGGCTTTTCATTTTTATTTCTATTATTAAAAGAGAATTTGGACATCTTTTCATATGTTTAAAAAACAATGAGTTTTCCTTTCTATAAAATATGTATAGTGTAACATAGTTTTTTATATACACACACAATCTGAGTATCAACTAGTTTTTAGGACTTCAATATATGTTACAATAGATCAACAGCTACAATTCTTGATATAATAAAAGTTACATTTTTTTTCCTAATTTGTAATTGATCTTTGAACTCATTTGGTGTCTTTTTTTTTTTGGTTGCAAAGGTGTGTGTGTGTGTGTGTGTGTATGCATGTGTGTGATCTAGCTTTTCACTTATTTCTTCTCAACTGTGACATAGTTTTAGGGAGACATTTCCTACTTTGAGATTCCATCACATTTTATGCTAGTTCTTTTATGATTTTTATTGATTTATGTTATACTTTCTTGTTCAAATCAAAATTACTGTGGTTTAAGTTATAAAGTAATGATTCAAATGATTACTTTCCAGTTGGCTATCCAGCAATATTTATGGATCATTCCCAGGGATGAAAGCACCTGTCATCAATCCTATGCACTAACATGGACGGGTCTCCACTGGACTCTGAGCTGCGCCCCAGCCATGACCTTCCTCTCTGTAAGGTGACACTGCGGAGGGTGCCTCAGAGCAGCATCACTGCTTTGGACACAGCTTGTGCGCCCCAGGATGGGGTCTACCCAACCTCTCTCTTGGATCTTGATTTCCTTCCAGATTGAGAGCACAGTGGCCACAGCAGTCCCAGCATTTCTTAAATCCCGGACTGTCTTGCTTTTTTCAAGGCGAGATCTGGGGCCCTGCTTAGTCCTTATTCCCATTTCCCAGGGCTTTACCGCAGGTCCCTTGAGTTTGGTGCCATGAGGATTCCAGGGCCGATTTCCAACCTGGCAGCATCTGAAGGGGCTCTGGACCCTTCTGTCATATGACCTGAGGCGGATTTCAGGCAACAGTGGAGTCTGAGAGGGTTGACTCTCTCTAAGACAAGGCAGAACTGGGCACACCCACGGTTAATCCAAGACAGTGTGGCCCTGTACCTCCTGGGCCCTCCCAATTACAGCTAAAACATTGCAGCATCTCAGAAGCATGGGGAGTCCCTGAAAGGAAGAAAGAAGGAGGTGGGCACCCTGGAGGCCTCTGCTCAGCACCTTCCATGATCAATCTCTCAGCATCAGTATAGTGTGATGTCCCCAGCACACATGTGGCATAGAAGGAAGATGGTGGGTGCCTCCGCTCAGCACCCTCCATGATCAAGCTGTGAGCATCAGTATAGTGTGATGTCCCCAGCACACATGTGGCACAGAAGGAAGATGGTGGGTGCCCTGGAGGCCTCCGCTCAGCATCTTCCATGATCAAGCTCTCAGCATCAGTATAGTGTGATGTCCCAGCACACATGTGGCACAGAAGGAAGATGGTGGGTGCCCTGGAGGCTTCTGCTCAGCACCTTCCATGATCAAGCTCTCAGCATCAGTATAGTGTGATGTCCCAGCACACATGTGGCACAGAAGGACACATGGCAGCCCCACAGCCAGATCACACTCAATAGTGAAGGGCTGAGAGCTTTCCCTCTAACATCGAGAGCAAGGGTAGGCTGCCCTCCACCAAACACACACTTCTATTCAGCATCAAAGTGGAAGAGCTGGCCAGAGCAATCAGGCAAGAAAAGGAAATAAAAGGCATCCAAAGACAAAAAGAAGTAGTTAAATTGTCTGTTTTCTGATGACATGATCTAATGTATAGAAAACCCGAAAGACTCCACCAAAAAACTATTAGAACCGACAAATATCTTATAACATTTGTTTCTCTTTAGTAATAGTATTTAAATTTCATAATTTTCATATTAAACTTTTAATAACATTTCTGTATATTCTATTGGACTTTTAATACAGAATTATATGCACTGGATAATGAGGGTGTTATTCCTTTTTGCAAAAGCTGATAGATTTCATTATTTTTTTCTTCCTTTATTAAATGGGTTAGCACTTCAGCAATGTACAGAATAAATGTGAGCAGAGAAGGCATCCTCATCTTGATTGAGTGAGAAAGATTTCAACATTTCTCCAACAAATATCATGATTCCATTATTTTGTATATACCCTTTCCTTAAGATGAAGGGTATTTAATTAGATTTTTAGAATGCTATTTTAAAATTAATTATGAATGACTTTTTAACTATATCAATTTCATTGTTTAAGGATATTTGAATTTATATTCATGAATGAGTTTGGTCTGTATTTTATTATTATCACTTCTCTGTCAAGATCTGGCATCAGTTTTTTTTTCTGGCATGTTAAATTGGTTAGAGTGTATTTAATAATTCTCTGTTGTCTGAAAAATTTTGTAAAAAATTGGTATTATTCCTTCATTAAATATTTGGTAAAATTCACTAATATAGTTTCTATGGTCTGCAGTTTTCATAATAGTTTCATTTTATTTACAAATTTTATGATGATTTAAATTTCTATATCTATTTGGTCAGGCTTTGTGAAGTATGTTTTTTGAGGATTAATCTATTTAATATGTACTTCAAAATCATGGGCATTATATTTTCCCTTATATATTTCTATTATATGGAAATATATATTTATATATTTACTCTACATTATTATATAGTTACACTATACTCATTATATATATATATATATTTCTCTGTTAAAAACTTTGAAAGTGGTAATGATATATATTTGTTATTTCTAATATTGGTTATTTCCACTGCCTTTTTTTCTCCATCAATGTTCTCAGGGGCTTATCAACATTACACATTTTTTTAAAAAGCTAATTCTAGGTTTTGTTGACCTGTCTAGAGCATATTTATATGTTGCTTGCTGTTCCTTTGATTTCTACTATTATTGCTAATATTTGATCCTTTGTACTTTCTTCTAAAAAGTAAATTATGTAAGCATCCGTCTCATTAAGTCTAAAAAGAACAATAAATTATTTTTAAAATTCCATATCAAAATTTATAGTAGGTAAATTTTTAGTTCTGAATTTTTTCTAATATCTTTTATCACAGATTATTCTTTATCATATGGGCAAGTGAGATGTCCTGTCCTCAATTTCCAAATTTATATGGATGCTATAGAAGTATTGTTTGAGATTTGCAGGATGAAGAGCGTACCCTTTGTATGGCTTTAAACCTTTGCAGTGTGTTGGGCCTTGTATGGCATTATTGAAACCAGAAAGCTCTAGTAACAATTTCGTAGATTATTTATTTGTTAAAAATTTAAGTAATAAATATTGCGAAGTAAACATATGAAAAATATATCTCTGGTGTCTGTCCAGGCAAGGTGGCTCATGCCTGTAATCCCAGCACTTTGGGAGGCTGGAGCAGGAGAATCACTTAGATCCAGGAGTGTGAAAGCAGCTGGCAACGAAGTGAGACCGTGTCTCTACAAAAAAAAGAAAAAAATAAAAATTAGCAGATGTGGTGGCTCACGCCTATAGTCCCAGTTACTTGGGAGACTGAGGCGGGAGGATGGCGTCAGCCCCGGGGAGGTTGAGGCTGCAGTGGGCACTCTAGCCTAAGTGACAGAGACCCTGTCTCAAAAAAACAAACAAAACCCCCTAAACCCCAAAACAAACCAACAGAAAAAATACATTTCTGACATCTAAAAGTTTATGGATATTAGAGAAACAGGGAATAAACAAGTAAAAACATGGTTAAATAATTAAAAGTCTAACAAAATCATAGTAAGAGAGGTAAAGTAAAATATGGCTACAGTTTGGCTAAGTATGGAATTTCCTGTGGGATGTACACACATTTTCTGCGCGGCTGACATCTAATGTTTTTCTGTAGGTAAAGTGTATATGTTCAAGCAAGGCTGAAGCATTTGTGATTCGTTGTGGGGACGTAGGTCATGTCTTCTGAGTAGATCCGGTATCTTCTGCTTCTAAAAAGTGTGGGAAATGGTGCACAGCGTGTACAGAACACACTCTTTTATGTTTTGATTAAGTTTTGTTATGTCAAAGTAAACACCAATCCCTCCATTCCTGATAAATCACCTAGAAAAATGTGGCTGGCAGCAGGCCATTCTTGGCCCATTCTGAGCACGAAGGAGGCAGGGATGAAAACGCGATAGCAAGAGGCAATTTGACAGAGAGTGACCATGAATCCCACAGTTCAGGACTCCAAGGAGGGAGAGGAAGGAAAATAACAGAGGGAAAGTGGGCACTGGGAGATGAGACTCTAGTCTCGCCACCTCTGTCTATCCTGCATGGGAGAGCCATGGAAAATACTTGGTGAAACACTTTTCCTCATTTCTACATATCATTAAAAACAAAATTTAGTTTTTTTTACTCACACTTTCTTTAACACATTATAACCAATGTGATACAAAAACCTAACTGCTGGAATGAAAGATGAACAGGTTAATATATATATTATACATATATAATACGTATATAATAATATATAATACAGAGAAGAAAACATTCCTGAAGCCTAGAAAACTAATTCAATCGAACACATTATTGAACACACTATGTCCTCCCAATAGGAAATGTTGAAAGTCACAGAGACAGATAACACCCCGCTGCACAACAGAAATTAATAAACTTTAAACAAGGCATAATTTTAAAACGGTGTCTTCCTATTCTGCCCTTTTTGCAAAACAGAAAAATAAAATATCTCATCAATGTAAAAAAAAAAAGTACTAAATTTTGTTGGCTTTACATTTCTAAGAACAGAAATACAAGAAATATTAACACATTTAAAGGCCCAGTGTACTTCCTCATTCTAGAAAAACAAATTTAAAAACCAGAGGAAGAACTATTAAGAATCAGATGACATCATGTTACATTAGACAAGTGGAAAAATAAAGTCCAAGGATAGCAAATATTTTCCTATAATTAGAAAAGGCAAAATCAAATTCAAGCTTTGCAAATGCAATTGTTCTTTATGAGAAGAAATACAAATATCTGGATTTGTATAGGATCCAGGATATTTTCCTTATGATTCTACCAGAAGTAAATCTAACCCCACATGTTTTTCAGATCAGTCTTGATATTATTGGTCTCTCCCCATAAGGCTGAAAAGAAAGTCATTACCCAATGTAATAAGAAACATAGATTTATTCATCGACCTGTTCCAAATGGTGCCTAATCACTTGTTATTCTGTCCTTTGGCAACATTCTTTGAATGTCAAAGAATTTTAGTGTTTGAAATTATCATTAAATACAAACATCATGCTGAAATTTTCAAACATGGTAGCATTTGTGATTCTCCCCATCAGCACGAATGTCTCAGTGATCATAATTATTCTCACCATCATTGAACTTCTTAGTTACTGCATACTTAATGTATAGTGACAAGCTCACCCAGGCCATTTGCCTGATTTTCTATTAATCTTACAACAACTCTGAAGTTGATGGAGTTTAAAACGATATGCAGAAAGAAAGTGAAATGCTGTTCCCCTTCCTGTGCCCATGTGTTCTCATTGTTCAATTCCCACCTATGAGTGAGAACATGCGGTGTTTGGTTTTTTGTCCTTGCGATAGATAGTTTGCTGAGAATGATGGTTTCCAGCTTCATCCATGTCCCTACAAAGGACATGAATTCATCCTTTTTTATGGCTGCATAGTATTCCATGGTGTATATGTGCCACATTTTCTTAATCCAGTCTATCATTGTTGGACATTTGGGACGGTTCCAAGTCTTTGCTATTGTGAATAGTGCCGCAATAAACATATGTGTGCATGTGTCTTCATCACATACCGGGGACTGTTGTGGGGTGGGGGGAGGGGGGAGGGATAGCATTAGGAGATATACCTAATGCTAAATGATGAGTTAATGGGTGCAGCATACCAGCATGGCACATGTATACATACATATGTAACAAACCTGCACATTGTGCACACGTATCCTAAAACTTAAAGTATAATAATAATAAAATAAAATAAAATAAAAAATAAATGTGAGAAGCATAAAAAAAGAAAAGAAAGCGAAATGCTGGTAGTTTGAGACGGCCTCACTCTGGTATCCAGTTGCAGTCTCTTTACTGAGTATACAGTTTTACTCTTAGTCATGAGTGGATGCCTTACCCAGGAGTGGACAACAGGAATTGGAGTGATTCTTAGAGGGCAGTAGGCAGACATTGCACATGGTGGACAAGGATGGATATGGAAACGACTTTCTGATAATAGAGGTGGAAGACAATGGTCTCTGGTTTTCGTTGTTGTTTTTGAAATTTTGTCTGAGAGTTTTGCAAAGATCAGAAGGGACGTGATTATATGGTAAAAGGGGATAATGAACAGATTCAAATTAATTGGAGCAAATCTCAGCTAATTAACTGGAATCCTTAGGCCCTTATTTAGTGAGAATATAGTCAGTACTTTGCCACAACTCCCAAAATACATGAACATTTGCTATGCATGTATGAGTATGGAGATTCTAATGAATACTTCATGGGAAAGTGGAAGCAAAGAATGCCTTGCACAAGACATGGAGATCTTGAGTTATTTTCTCTTTAAACATCTCTGCAATTGTCCCCAAATCACTCCTCAGTTGCCCGTGGCCTGGTTTCTTTCTCTTTAGTCCACATGACATTTGTATTCCAAGTGTTCTCAAGAGATAGTTAGCTCTGAATATTCAGGTAAAACCCAAAACCTAGTAACTTAGCAGATTCAAAAAAGTCCTGTGGAAAGTATTTTAAGAGTATATATCTTGCTCTGTCATGCCCTGGGGGCCTCACCCATGAATCTGAGGATATTATCAGGTATTAATTCAGGAGGACCAGTGGCCTCTACTGGAGAGTGGGGAGTGAGATCTGCCTCTAATAAAAGATTTTCTCCATAGCCTTGGGTCGTTTATCACATTTGCTTATTTTACTTTGTTTGCTGACTTACCCTGCTTCACAAGCTCGAGCAGCAGGATAAAAACCAATTTTTTTTCTGTGTAGAAGAAAACAATGACAGTCAGGAACAGAATATAAATCAGATGATCTAATAAAGGGTGGGTCAGGGTAATATCCCAATGCCTCAAATCACTCTTTCTTTGACTACAAGTTGCATGCATTTGTAAGGCCTGAGAACTACAACTACATTTCAAACTGATCATAATAGAGCTATAAAAATCAGACAACAAGCACCACTCACCACATAACAAGCACCACTCACCACGCATGAGATGCAGGAATAGCATTTGCTATAGAGATAGGTCTTCTGCCGATAAATTTGCGAAAGAACAGCATTGGATTAGCTAAAGTTATTAAGATTTTTAAAGCTGGTGAAATTTTTTGCCTCCTCAAATAGGAGGTGCAGCTTTTCATGAACACATGTACACCTCAGGGTGAGGTCCTTGTATTTTTCATTATATAAGTCATATGTTATATGTTACATTACATATTACTGGGACAATTTCATGCAACCATATAGCTGGAGATTGCATAAACTCTGGTGTTGCTGTTTATATGAACTATGAGACTGGTGCCTCCTGAGGAATATTGCACATGTTAATTCCTGGAGACCTGCAGTGCATTGTCGTATGTATACATGGTATGTAACATATATCATACTTATCGGCACATTGTCATATACATATAATGTCATATATATTTTATATATATCATACTATATCCCACCCTCTCTTTCCTCTCTCTCACATTTGTGAATATTTGATGATGTTTAGTAAAACAACAACAGTAAGAGAAAACTGTGCCCCTGGTTCACAGTGGACATACATGAATGTTACAAAATGTGACAGTTCTACCATTTCAATCATGAGATTCTATTTTTCAGCTTACAAAGTAGGATATGAGGATGGCCCAGTAAGACTTAGTGGGGAGGGACCTTCTCTGTGTGTTACCACCCATGAATGATGTGCTGTGGATACCGAAGGAGTCGTGTTATACAAGTCATTTTGTACAAATTCTTTTATTGTTATCTAGAAAAAATACGCAAATGCATCTTCTTACAAAAGGTAAGAGGAAACTCAAATAATACGAACACTGCTAATATTAATGAGAGTAGTAATAACATAATTAACAACTATCCAGAGACACAGAATAGTGAACTAGATTAGTCTTCAAAATTGAGATAAGTCGGAGCTATTTTCAGTTGGGATACTTAATTATATTTAAGTACAAAACTCTGGAGAATCTATATTGTTTTATAGGATAATTAATTTTTATTTCTTTTATTAAAATTGTGTTTGAATATATTTCCTCATGGGAAAGAACCCTATAACTGGGGTAAATTCTTCCCAACCCACTCTCCACTGGACTCAGGTGGATTCAGGGGGAACAGTTTCTCAGGATGACCTTCCCATAATCCCCTCCCCAGTTTCTCACGATGACCTTCCCATAATTCCCTCCCCATTGGCTTCGATGTTCTCTGAGAGATGCTCCTTGAATAATGGTGCCCAGGGGAATGCAGCTGTTAGACTTGGATTCGCTAATGCTCAAACATTTAGTCTGTTTACTAAACAATCACACATGATGCCATGAGACCCTTTGGAATTCAATGGTGACATACAATTGAAAGATGGTCACATTTAGTTTTGATTTATTAAAAGGCTAACACTTTGATTAGTCAATACAAGTACATTGATCATATTAATAATGATTTATCTTACCTTACCTACTGGGTAGCTGAGGCATGTGCTTCTTCCTACGAGAATCTGTTTTGGTCTTGTGCATTGCATTTTACAGGGCTCATGTCAAAAGCCACATGAGATTACTCAAATTTGGACTATTTATTTATTTTCAGGTTTCCCCCCTTTTAATTAGATCAGGTCTTTTCAATACCACACTCTGCCTTGAAACATAGCCCCTGGCATCTCGCCCTTTCTGAGTTCAGTTGAGTAAGGAAACAAGTTGAGAACGTCATCTACTGCATTGATCAATCACGCTCAGGTGGAGACAAATGCGTGTTTAAAAACATTTCCTCTGAATCTTTGCCTGAAAGGGTTTTTTTTTTCCAATGAATTAATATGCTTTTATAATTTTATGCTAAAATATGACAAATGAAAGATATTTTTCTTTTTTAACTTTTACTCTTACGAAAGAAAGGGCTTCAGAATCACGCCTTCAAGGAAATTGTCCCCTTTTCCAGATAGTGCCCATTTATTATGCCATGACATCATTTTGTTTCCTCCAGACCACATAGTTTTTAAAGGTACATTCATCATATAATTATTTAACTTCCATTTAGCCAGCCACAGTGTAACCTATAAAGGCTCACATATGTGTTTCTAAATACCATTTATTTTCTAGCGGCCATAAAAGCTTTGGAGCACAGGTAGAATTTAAAGAAGTAAACATTGTCAAAGTAATCAATACAGCAAAAGATATACTTTTAGAATTAATAGCTTCCCTGGACTATTTTTCAAATACATAATTCTTACCCTTAACGTTCATCTATTTTTCTCTTTGGCTTTATTTTTTTTTGAGAAAAAGTCATTTCAAAAACTGATATTTCCTTTTTCCAAAATTATTCTTTATCTATCTGTCTATCTATCTATTATCTATCTATCTATCTATCTATCTATCTATCTATCTATCTATCATCTATCTATCTATCTATCATCTATCTATCCATTTATCCACATATTTATCTATCATCTATATAATTAGTAAAACTGTTTACTGAATTTTAAAAGTGGTAGTATTAAAAGTATTGATCAAGCTGGGCACTGTGGCTTACACCTGTAATCACAGCACTTTGGGAGGTCAAGGCTGGCTTGACGCCGGGAGTTTGAGACCATCCTGGCCAACATGACGAAACACCATCACTACTAAAAATATAAAAATTAGCCAGGCATGGTAGTGAATGCCTATAATTCCAGCTACTAGGGAGGCTGAATCAGGAGAATCACTTGAACCCAGGGGGTGGAGGTTGCCGTGAGCTGAGATCCTGCCACTGTACTCCAGCCTGGGCAACAGATCGAGACTCTGTCTCAGAAAAAATTGTTTTGATCAAGTCATTCTAATAATTTCCAGTTATTTGCTATTTATTGAGAAAATTAGCATATTTTTAAGAAAAATAGCAAATTTTGCCTGTAAATTGCATTTGGGTTGGTTATTTTAGCTGAACTATTCTTTCTGACACATGGTCTGCCATGAGCAGTGACTTCAAACTTTTCCATTACTTTCCACGTAGTTCAACGTCCAAGGCATTACGTGTGAGTTGAATTCTGTTTTAGCTTATGAGAATCTAAGAGAAATCACATTACATTTTCCTCACATTTCTAATAACATTGACATTATAAAACTTGTTTGTGTCATGGATCAATTTTTTAAAAATTCAATGATGAGATATTTTTATTTTTTTATTTTTATTTTTATGGATACATTATAGTTGTACATATTTATTGGGGTACATGTGATATTTTGATACAAACATATAATGTATACCAATCAAATCTGGGTAGTCGAATATCTATTACTTCAAACATTTATCATTTCTTGTGCTAGGAACATTCCCCATATATTCTAGTCATTTTGAGATAATATAATAAATTATTGTTAACTATAGTTGCCTTACTGTGCTACCAAACTCTAGATCTTACTTCTTCTATTTAATGGGAGATCTTAAAATTTAAATAGTTAGCTTATTATTAATTTCTGTTTAGTTTTTATCCATAGAACATTGTTAAAGTCATTTGTCAGTGTCTCAATATTTCGTAAATTATAAAAAGAATAAATGTTCTGTTTTATTTTATATCATATGACTTAATTTCTCTGTGATTTCTATATCTTTGCCAGTTTCCTTCATTTAATTAAATAGAATCTTCAACAAATCAATAATCATGGTTTAACAACTGAACTATTTCTTTTGAAACAAAATTGGTGTGTCTGGTAGGATGCATTTTATGAAAACCAAATAACTCTAGTAAATACATTTTAAAATTATTATTATTTGTTCATTAACTTTCATCAGAGTAAATTTAGAAGATTCCATAAGAATTTCAAACCGTTTCATATCCTCTGGCCTCAAGGCTAACCAACAAAGTTTAAATTTTCTTCCACAGTACATTGTTTAAATTTCCTTCCATAGTTCATTGTTTCAATCCTTGGTGCTTAATTTTCTGTGAAAATTATTTGGCATATAGTAGAAAACATTTAAAATATTTTATTTTTTGTTGTATCAGTCAGAGAAAATTTCATGTGGCAAATCAGTGCCAAAATAAAACCTTCAGAAACTTTTCCAAGATTTTGACTAAAACCATCTATTTTTTTCTATAAATTTAATAATATGATGTCTACTAAAATCCAATAATTTTTCACTCATAGTTTTTTACCAGATGGAAATTTTGAAGCACAAACAAATCTTTGATACATAATTTCATATGCTGATGCTTCTGGTTCCATGAGATTAAAAATTGAAATTATCTTAAGGTCTGAATTTTACATTTTAAGGAAACGATTTAAACACATTTATTTATAAGAAGTAAATATTCATAGATTATTATTGAAAATGCATTATCTTAATTGTTGATTTTTAAAATTTAATTTTCTCATGAAAATAGATACCTATTTTTAAAGCAGGTAAAGCATATATCTATCTATTAATATTGTTTTCAAGCCTTAGTAAATCATAAGTGTCTGAAAGTGCATGGTTATTTTTAACTATTAAGTACATATGGTTAAAAATTGTCATCTTAGTTTCTGTGTTATTTGTTTGCTTTTTTAACATTCTTGAAAAACATTTGCTTTTTAGCATAGTGTTTTAATTAAAAATTTAATTTGTTTACATCATTTCTTCATTAATGATTGCACATTTTGCCCATTAAAATCTGTACCTTAAATCAAATACAATTCTATTCTGATGAAATATCTAAGTATCAGCACTTTTAGGTTTTATTGATATAACTTTTGAGCACCATTTGCCTTCAACATTATGTCACCAGCAGTACAACTTCACTCACATATAGTTTTGAAATATATTTGTTCAATTTTACTGATTCTTATAGACAAAATATAGTCCTGCCTATTCTGATTTCTATGATGTCATAAATTTTCCAGACTATTTTTGTTACTAATATCATTGCTTTTCCCCCAAGCCATTTTAAAGATGTAAATTTTTTCTTAATGTTTTATTAAAGATTCTCCAATTTATAAATATATGCATTGCATAGTGAGTACTTACACAAGTGCTGTCCATGTGGATATTAAAAGCAATGAAAAAGATATTTTATCCAGGAGTAGTAGAAACAACTAAATAATATGAGTATAATAAAACTGATAATTCTAATAATACTACAGTTTAGAACATATTACAAAGAATGTGTAGTTCAATCATTCTGTCTATGTGATCTCAGATCAAATAGATCAGAAGATTTGCTCATGATTTTACCGCTGACCTCAGTAACTATTTACCAAGTGGTACAGAAATACGTTAAACAAAAGCCATACCAGTGCTTACTGGCTGAAAACAAATCATGGCATGGTCTGTCATTTCCATGACTCCCTCCTCGAAATCATTCACTGTTGAATCCATTGATATCCCAGGTAAACAATCCCAACAATCTGTCATCTAACTTTGTTATATGAACTCTTTGAGAGAATGTTTGTTTCTTAAACATTGGGATAACTGTCAAAATTAGAATAACCTTCCCTGATATTTTTATTCTCTTCCTCTAACTCTGTTAGTTTTTCTTTCTTTCTTTTTTTTTAACAGCCTTATCATTTGGAAGTTTGATTTTCAGTTTTTTTTTGTATATTTTGGAAAATAGGCTTCCAAGAAAAATCTCCTCAACATTCTTTTCAGCTGCAACCCGTATGTTTTGATTTCTTCTTATACTTATGACTATCCAGTTAAATATTTTCTTCTTTCTGCTGTAATGTTCTTTTGTGGCGCATGAATTATTCAATAGTGTAGTCTTTATTTCCATGCAATTGAGAATTTTCTAGTTATCTTTCTGTTATTAATATCCACCTTAATTCCATTTTAGTCCAATATATTCTTGACAATTTCGATCTTCTGAGATTTTCTGATTGATGACTGAAGATATGGTCAGTTCCAAGAAATAGCTCAGATATACCTCATAATAATGTATGTCTCAGTTGTTTGTGACTTCTGAATACTCCCTGATACATTCACCTGCCTATTTTATTAGTAATTATGAGTGTTAAAATCTCTTACTATGATCGTGTACTTGCTTATATCTCCTCTCAATTCTGTCAATTTTTGCTGTATATATTTGAAGCCTTGTTATTGGCTACATATAGATTTAAAATTACAACAGCTCCTGGTGAATCATCTACTAATCATAAAGCGTCCCTTTTTGTTTTAGGTAATCCTTCTTTAATTGAACTATTCTTTATATGCTGTTCATACAAGTAACCTAGATTTCTTTTGTTAGTGTTTTTGTGGTATACCTTTTCTTATGTTTTTACTGTCAACATTACCAACTCCTATATTTAAGTTTTGTGTCTTATAATGTGCAACATTATTCTTCTTTTCTCGATCTCTCTTGATTCTTAGTTAGAATACTTAATTCAGCAAAATTTTAAAATAGTTTTTTCCACCAAAATATTTATTTCATAATACTGGGAGCATTTGTATCTTTTGTATATTTTAGTCAAATATTTATTTTCTCGCATTAATTTTTTACTTATGGACTCACTCTACTATTTTAGCAAAAATTTTAACATGGAATCTCACCTTACAGAATCTTACATGTAGATTCATACAGAATCTCATTTTATATTCTTAACATTTCCGAAGATGGTGATTCTTTATCTCAACTTACCACCCTGTACCTTTTGCATTTTTTTTTGCCCTGCACTGAAACACCATAGGGCCACTAATAATATTAATTTTGCAGGTCAATATTTAGCCAGTGGTCAATTTTATGTAGTTACATAATAACCCTCACTGTTGATCTTTGTTCTTTCCTATAATTTTATCTTAACTCTTAGCTCATTTTCTTTCTGCTTGAAGAACTACTTTTAGTATTTCTCTTAGTGTAGGTTTTCTGGTAAAAAAAATTCTGAGTTTTTCTTCATCATAAAATCATTATTTCATTTTCACTCTTGAAAGGTGTTATTGATTCTGGTTTGGTAATTACTTTCTTTCAGGACATTGAGATGCCTTTTCATTTTCTTCTGGATTCCAAAATTTTTGTTCAGTATTAAGTTTTAGTTTTAATGATACTCCCTTAAAATTTATTTTTTATTATTCCTTTTTTTTCTGGCTGCTGCTTTTTTTCCATCAATCTATTTTACACCCACGTGTTTCCCTTGCACTGATCCTATTGGAGATTTGCAGAACACTGTGCATTGCAGAATCTATCAAGTTCCTTGGTTTTGTAAAGTCGCCAGCTATTTTTTTTCAAATAGTACTTCTGCCTCATTTACTTGTTTTTCTTCTTGTGTATGATAATTGCATGTATGTTAGATCTTTTTCAAACATGTCCATGTATCTTTATTGTTCCCTTCTTCTTACCCATTCTTTATTTCCTGTGTTTAACTCTAATATGTTCTGTTGTCCCAAATTTCCTTTCACCATTGTCTCATCTACTGTTGAATACATTATTACCAGGGCCTTTATTTTTGTTATTGTACTTTTAGTTCTAAAATTTGACTTTTATTTTTAGATTCCAATTCCCTGGAGAAGTTCTCCACATTTTTATCTGTTTCATTTGCTGTAATTCTCCAACTTGTTGAACAATTTGATTATCATAATTCCATAGAACTTTTCAGAATACTTCACTCCAGCAGGTGACTGCATAATTGTGGGCACAGGCCCTGTGCTCATTACATGGAACGTGGTGGTAAGTGAAGTATAGACATGGTCTTAGTCCTAATGGATATTCTGGTATAGTGGGAGAAGGTAACATGTTCTGTGTACTTTTTATTATACAGATTGTTTGAGTAACACCACATTATTAATACTCAAATGTCATCTTTACAACATGAAGAGAAACCATTACAAATAAAAAAACTAATATACACAGTAAGAGGAATAAACTAAGTAAAATATATCAGTTATTGGAATATAATTAGAAATATAAAGATTACTTTTAAACTTTTATACCTCCATTAGTTTTCTTAATTAAAAAAATGTCCAAACTTACTGAGGTATAATTGAGAAATAAAATTATATGATTTTAAGATCTATGACATGATGATTTTTTGTGTATATATGGTAATGTATATACTGAAAAGATCACCATCATCAATGTAGTTAATAACACAACTATCACCTTACCCGGTTACCTTTTTGTTTTGTTTTGCCTTGCCTTGTGGTTAAGACATTTAAGTGAATTTCAAGTACATAATTCAGAGTTGTTAGCTACAGTCACCATGCCGTATGTTAGATTCCCAGAACTTATTCATCTCGGAAGTGAAAGCTTGTGCTCATCCACCAACAACTCCCCATTCTCCACCCCTGCTCTCTGCTTCTATGAGTTCTTTTGTAGATCCACATACGGGAGGGTATTTGTCCTTCTGTGCCTGGCTTATTTCACTTAACATAATGTGCCTAGGTTAATCCACATTGTAACAAATAAATACAATTTATTTAGCTCTGAATATCATAAAATATCATAAATACAATTTTAGTTTTGACAATACCTTAACAATATTTCTAACTCTGTTATTGTTTATAATATTGGGTAGAAACTGAGAACAATTTTAAACTTTCTTAGTTTTATGTGTCTTTTAGTGTTACATGACTCCAATTATTTCTGAAAAGGAGAAGAGCTGAGAATGCAAAGTCCAAATTTACACTTGTAAGTATATGCTTGTGATATATTAAAAATAAAGGGCTTCCTATCCATTTTTAAGCCCTAGCCCAAATGTCACTTCCTTCAAAATGTTTTCTATAATGTTTTTCACCAAAATTTGCCTTTCTCCACCTAAAACCGTACTTTTGATAATACAGTTGTCAGCATATAGTCCGGCATTTATTTATTCTCGACTTGTGTGGACTTATGTTGTTTGAAACTTTTTTGAGTGCTGAACACATTTTCATCTTTTTCCCTAATCATATTTCTTGATAAGTTCCACTGACCTTCTGCTGTGCTGTGTGTTGCTAACCGGCACTCTCAGTGCATGCCAGCTGCTCATTGTGTGTTTGGAGTCCACACACAGGCACCACAACAAGCCTTTAGATTTATCCAGCTGTTCTAGCTCACACAACTTTAAAAAAACATTTTCCTGCATGTTTTACATCCAATATCGTGAAATCCCTGCTGTGGGTCTCCATTTATAGGCATATGGGACTCTTCTTCTATCACTACTGGGGTTGGCGTCTATGTATATATTACATAAATAAGGGCAAGAGACTGCCTGGATGCAGTTAGAAAATGGGAGTGGATAAATAACTGGGTAAGAAGCAGTCGAGTGGGCTCCATCCACAACTTTCTCCCTACAGCGTCTTCCCAAAGTGTGTGCTTATTCTCTCAATTTTTTTTTATTTCCTCTATATAGGGACCTCAGATATTGTCACAAATCTCAGTGTAATTTTGTGTTGCATGTTTTTGAAATTTTTGGAAAAAAATAAGAATGGTTCCACTATTTGAAAAGAAATCCGTCAGGAAAAGTTGTCTATAAAAAACTCAAAAGGCACATTGAGATTGTATGTGTTATGTATATATTAGGTATATGTTTTTATTTTATTTGAGTTCTTTACCTGTCAATTTTAAGAAAACTGGAAGTACAGTGAAGCAGTCAAAAGTTAAATTATATGGAAATTCACTTAAGATGATTTCCTTGTTTTAAGCACTTGCATCTCTTTCTGGGTGGGCATGAGAAAGAGGGTGTGGAAATTAGCTTTTGGATGGCATGGGATTGAACAAGATCAGCTTAGTGAGGAAAGTGCTGAAAAGCAAACTTGCATCTGCCAGAACATTCCCGTTAATGGATGTAGCCTTTTCTAATCCTTTATCCTGGATGTGCAATAATGCAATGCCCACCCGGAAATTAAAGCTTTAAAATGACAGCTATGAATTATATTGATGGATAGTAAAGAAGATGACAAAAATGCATTTCTAAAAATTATTTTGCAAAGACTCTCCATCAGGTTCTATGGAAGACAATTTGCAAGGGGTAATTACAGTTGCGTGAACGCCCTGGTCCTGTGCTTTGGTACAAGCAAAGCATTGAACTAATTAAAGAGATACACTGTGGGAGCTGCCAATACTGAGGAAAATGTCAAGGTTCAAATTTTAAGACCAAATGAATATATTCAAATTCTTAGACTACATCATCGTGGAACTCAGTGTCGATGCAGTTTTCAAAATTAAAGTTGCATAAAGTTGTCATGTTTAAGGAGATAACAAAATAATTTGGTCAGTCACTAAAATGCTATACAATTAAAATGAAAAGTAAGACAGTGTGTGAAAGCTGTTACCTAGCTCATATTCTCACACTTTCCCCAATTTGTTACTGCCTGAAGGAAAATTCATGTTAGGGAGCATGACATTTTAATGATTTGCCTTCAGACTGATGAGTCACATGTACATTGAACACTTTCATCAAAATTCATGAACTTGGCAACATTAGTGTCATTTTTAATACAGCGAATAAAATGTGACCTACCCTAATTATAAAAAAAAATTGTGACTCTGATAGATACCCTGCAAAATCAACCTTATTAAATGCCACTTGTTGCTAATTGTGTTTTTACAGACAATGACCTGTTAGCTCTTCTTAATTCAGCAGCTTGACATTGTTGTTTAATAAAATTATACGTGAAGATAGTGATTTTTACAATTGTGCTTTGGTTGTCAAAGTGCATTTTCCCCTACTCCCAGTCCCACAAGACATATGATTGAATCAACTTTCCATTTGATCAACATGTTGTTGCTCCATTGCTAACATAAATTTACTATAGTTGGGAACCACAGTCTTCCTGTTCATCTATCAGAGACCAGTGCAGTGATAGAAGAAGCATTAAGTTATCACTTTAAGGTATAAAAAAAGCTATATAGACTGAACAACCAAGTTGATTATGCTAAGACAGGAATTTAATAAAATCGTTCTTCTCACCTTTACATAGACATACATGAAACATATTTATGAGTATAATAAAATCCATGCATGTATACAAAAGACTCATCTACCTTACGAAAACAAAGATGGCAAGTTTTCAGAATTAAGTACAGCAATTGGTCAGTTAGTGAATATTTTATTTTCATGTTTAATCAGAGGGCACCATAAAATAAGACCTATTTATATGTATAGTTCTGAACTTCAAATTACAAATTGCAGCAAGATTATCTAATTGACTGTATATACCTTTTTGTCTCTTGGGATTTAAATTCTTTCTCTAACATCTCCATGCAAATAACTACTTTCTCCTTAAATGGCTGATGCTGGCTGGTGAGAAACCAGGCTGGACTGGGGTGAGTCCTTTGTGTAAACTCCTCATTGGCTTCTAGGCCGTCTGCTCTCTCCCTTGCCACACTCCCTGTGCCCTGCCCTGCTCTGAGGTTTAAAATGCCCTTACTCTCTGGGTGCAGGCCGACACCCTTCCTGACGCCCACCTTATTTCTCAATGAATGCATAGGAGCAATCACATACATGCCTTCTTTTCATTGTATTTATTTTCTAATGGATATGGTTCTTTAAGTCAGATTTAAAAAATTGCTGGAGGGCTGAGACTTTATGTGTTTTTATTTGTAGCACTTGCCAAAACGGTTGGTGCCCCCTTGGGAATTAATATATTTCATCTCTTAAAAACACTACTAAATAGGCTTGCAATGACAAACAAAATCTCTGCTTTGTCGAGGAGTCTGAATTGACTTCCTGCAGAGAGAAATCCCCGCACCCCGTTTCAAATAACGTTGGTTCCTCTGGGGAGAGCTGTGGGTCTGTCTGTTCTCACCGCCTGCCTCTGCTTCTGGCAAAATCTCTGAGCCACTTCTCCCAAGCTGGTGCAGGGACGGTGGCCACTTCTCTCAAAGTGACACCTGCTTTATGGGCGGAGCATGGGCCAGGTGAAGCAGCTTCAAGTTTTCTAATTTGGATTTCTGTGTGCAACCTCCATCATCCAGGCCCACCAGGGTGCAGGGGACCTGAGTTCCGATGTTCCTGGCTTGTCTTCCCTGGAGTCGAGTCTCTGTCCTCTGAGAGGGCCCTGGGGGGACAAGGCAGCCCCAAACTCTCGAGGAACTTGTCCTCTGCATCACGTAGTTGTGGGGGATGAGAAAGGCTGGAGACCTAACCTCCCACGGAGGCACCAGACCCTTGTTTAGGCTCTGCAGGGTGTGTTCTGTCCCATCTACTCTGCGCGCAGTCCCAAGGAGGGGCTCACCTCACTGAGCTGAGGGCTGCAGGGAAGAGTGAAGCCGACTCTCGCTGCTGTTGCAAACTGCAGCCAATTTCATCAATAGATGTTTCTTTATTAGCCATACACTCGGATAATTTCTGGACACCTAAGAATTTTTTAAGGCCGGGCGCAGTGGCTCACTCCTGTAATCTTAGCTCTTCGGGAGGCTGAGGTGGGTGGATCACCTGAGGTCAAGAGTTCAAGACCAGCCTGGGCAACATGGTGAAACCCTGTCTCTACTAAAAATACAAAAATTAGCTGGGCGCAGTGGTGCCTGACTGTAATTCTAGCTACTTGGGAGGCTGAGGCAGGAGAATTGCTTGAGGAAGAGGTTGCAGTGAGCTGACATTGCGCCATTGCACTCCAGCCTGGGTGACAGAGCAAGACTCTGTCTCAGAAAAAAAAAAATATTAATTAAATATTTTTTACTAGTGTGGTTGTTTTTCTGGAGCTTGGTTCCCTGAAACTCTATATACTGCCTTCGGGAATGCATGCCCACCAGTCTTACTTGGAAGCAGTGTTTGCTTTGTCTTCTCTTTACTGATGGGGTTCCTCTAAAATTCCCGATATATATTTTTTCTTAATTCAGGAGTGCTTTGGCTTGTTTCAGTTTGAAATCTAAAGATTCACATTTGTATTGCTTTGTTTCAGTCATTAGAGTGTCTGTCCCAAGGTGGTCATGTTCATATTTATAAAAACTTGAAGCAATCTTCATTAGTTTCCAGGATAAAAATATTGTCTAATTGAAAAGGAAGTTAAAGAGAATTGTAAGGAAAAAGTAGAAATATAAATGAGCAAGGATTATGTTAACAATTTTCTATTTAAAACTAGTTGCTATTAAGTCAAATGAGTAATGGAGATTGGGTATTTAGGTGTAATAAATATTATCATTTTTAATGTAAGTCTATTTAATATAAAAAATAAAATGCCCAATTTTATAAATCTATAAGTTCAAATTTGCTGAGTTAAGAATCAACTACTTTAGTTGTAGCCTTATCTGTGTATAACAAATTTATATGTATCTGGACATTAAATTTATTGAGACATTAAATTTACTGAGACATTTCCTTGTCTTGATCTTTGATACTCATTGCGCATTACAGAGAGCTTCATACACAATAGCTTTGCAGGGGCTTAATTTTTTGTATAAATAGCTCTTCAGGAAAAAAAAAGTAACTTTCTTACCAACATTTATGTTGAGTCAAGATTAACTAAAATATATTTAATTATCATCTAACTCCAACAATTTACTTAGAGCCACGATAATATTCTCTAGGGAATAAAGAGATGTGCACTTTTAGATGGTACAAAATATTCCGTTTCAGAAAAGGATCCTCCCTGTGAAGGTGCACTCTCTCCACTCCACCGTGGCTGCTCAAAATCTCTCAGCGCAATTTCTGGGCCAGAGCCCCACATTCTGGAAATTTCCTGGCCTGCATACACTTCCTTGCCTCTTTTTTTTTTTTTTTTTTTTTTGTCCTTGTCAGGGGCGTAATCTACTTTAGATGTTTAGCCAATCTTATAATTAATCTGACCTGTTATGTTACCAGAATGCTATATTTTACTTCTTTTTTTTCTTTTCTGCCAGGTGAGACTTTTTATTTTAATTTGCTATTCCAATCTCAAACCAGAGACCAACTTGATCATGAGGACATTAAGAACAACCTTAGAAGCAGAATATTTTTAAAGAATTGCCTGGAATATTATAAAGAGTTATATAATTATATTATGAAGTCTTATACTCCTTCCAACCCCGTGTTTTCAGCTAACACACAATAATTGAGCTTTTATTAAGTTCAAAGCCTTGCAAATTAAATGAATAAATAAATGAAAGAATAAATCTCTAACAGGATGTACTCATGGGCTTTCAGAGTCTAGTAAAGTCAACCCTATATAAATCTATGGAAGAAACTGTGTTGCATAACAGATGCTTATGTTTGATTGATTTAAATTAAATACTTGTACAACTGATGTTTGTTTAAGGCTGTTTATAAAAAAGAAGAAACATAAACCAAGTTAACTAGAATCTGAGTTTCTTGTTCATCTTTGAATGCCATTCTCCTAGTACAGTTGATAAAAATAATGAGTTTAATTCATGTTTGAAACATGAATAAATGACTAAACCAATTGTGATAAGCAAAAACACTTGTATTGAAATCAGAACAGCTATATGTGATTATATACACGGTTTTGTGTATATGTATACACACAAATGTTAAAAGTTAAATTTTATCATTTCAGTCTCATTAGAAGGCTTTTTCTTCAAATGGTATAACTCAGTTCACCTTTCTTGCTTATTTCTAGATATATTAAAAGAGGTATTAGGAATGGGTGCAGTGGCTCACGCCTGTAATCCCAGCACTTTGGGAGGCCCAGCCTGGAGGATCACTTGAGCCCAAGAGTGCCAGATTAGCCTGGGAAATATAGGTAGACCCTATCTCTACAAAAATTTTCAAAATCAGCTGGGGATGGTGCTTACCTGAGGTCCCAGCCACTCAGAAGAATGAGGTGGGAGGATCGCTTGAGCCCAGGAGGCCGAGGCTACAGTGAGCCACGATTGCACCATTGCACTCCAGCATAGATGACAGAGCAAGAAATTGTCTCAAGAAATAAATGAGGGGAGGGGTTTTTTCTAATGGCTCAAAAGAGAAGATTTAACATGTGTCAGAATATATTTTCAATAACAATTTGTTATTTGGAAGAAAATGTTTCATTTTCTTTCATTTTCAAGAGGTTTCATTACTTATGAAACCTCTCATTTGGATTAACCACTGGAGCAGCTTGCAAAACCTTGGTCATGGATATCCATTCAGGAAAGAATGTAAGAGCGTCTAACTTTTTATCCTCGTTTCCTTTTGATTCCACTTAAATTATACCACATGAATTATAAAGGAAATGGCATGGTAAACTCACTGCGACCCTGCAAACTGTGATGGGACCATCAGCATATAGAATTTTTCAACAGATTTCTGAATTGAAGAAAGTTAATGTGCCCGCCTTGAATAGCACAGTGGAGTAAACTACAGGTAAATATAGGCCTAGAGGGCGTGCACATGGGAGCTGACCTCCAGCAGAACAAAGACACAGAGACCCTGATCTCTGAAACTGTCAGCAGAATGAGACGCGGGGTGAAAATAGAAGGGTTATTTAAACGTATATCAATATGACTTTCTGTCTACATCCCTGTTCTAAATTCATAAATAATGTGGCTACCCACGAAGGGTTCACAGCCATCATTCCTACCTCAGCAACACAGTGGAGGCACATTTATTAAAATATGGACAGAAGTATCCAGAAAAAATCATGGAGGAAAGCTAATGAGAGTCGTTGACCTCTTAGAACTATGCTGCAAGCTGGAGTGTGGTGTCACCTCCTCCAAACGGTCTGCTCCCAAATGACTTACCCGCATGCACACACTCATCACAAACCCTCCTGTTATAAGACATAAATGCAAGATCGAGTAGAAACGTACATGCAAGGAAAATCTTTAACATTGAATTTAAAATTCCAGTTAAACAGAAAACTATTTCTAAATGAAACAAAGGAAGAAAACCTTAGAAGAGTTAGACTTAAATTAGAAGAATTAAACTTAGAATTTAGAAGAATTCAAGAAGATGTTTTATCCATAAAAGAAGAACTGGATTTTATGGATAAGAAATAATTAGAAAATGTAAAGATTTTTTTAGAAGACAATTGTGTTTGCTGAAATTGAGAAAAAAAAGCTTGGAAAATAAGGCTATGGAAGTCTCACAAAATATGAAACTAAATTACAAGGTTCAGAGTATGTGAGAAAAACATTAAGAGAGAGGAACCCAAGCGATGGGTCCAACATCTGACTAATAGGGATTTCAAGAAAGAGAACATAGAGAAAGTGAAGGATAGAAAATTAACAAATCGGAGAAGGGATCTCTTAGTGACAAAAGGCATGCGTGTTCTAAGAGGAAGCCTTACTAAGTGTTAAACAGCATGTTTTAAAAATACACCCATCTGTCCAACACTGTGAGCTTGTAGAACTACAATGATAAAGCAAAGATCATGGAAATCCTCATTTCTCATGAATTTCTTCATTGGAAATGAAGATCGCGCTCGTTGGTATTCCACGTCTACAAGTTAAATTGGACTATTATATAAAATGAGACAACTTCATCAAAGTGTTTTCAGGAAATGCTTATGATACTTTTATATCCTCATCTAAAATATGAAGAGCAGAGTCTACCAAGGCAGGCTAGACTGGGAAACATTCAAGCACTGGTGGGTTGATCCTCCCATGCAGATACTCTGGAAGCGTTGTTTGAGGTCATTCTCCTGGGAAGCGGCGCTAAGCCCAGGCCAAGAGAAAGGGAACCTGGGACGGGAAGAGAAGAGGATCCCGCATGGAGGAGTGATCGGGGCACATTGCAGGCTGACAGCTGTGGGCACAGACCCAGTACTTTCCATTAGAGCAAAGGGAGGAGGGCCCAGGAAGGAGAGCTCTGTGTAGGGAGAATTCTTGAGGCTAGACAGTGTGACGAAATGTTGGAAGAAATCAGTCATATGACGAAAGCAGAGAATTCAAGGACATTCTTTAAAATCATGTCAGTGTGAACGCCAAGAAGCATTTAAGGAAGTTGTCGAAGAAAAGAAATTTCCTCCTAGGAAACTGTTGAATCATTATCTTAGTCTGTAGCAACACTTACACATAATGCTATGAAGCCCTGTATTGTCAATTAGAATCAATGGGCAGATAAAACAGGAGAGAGTGACGTTTAATAGTGTAATGGAAATGTTACTGAACCAAACATTGAAAAATATAGTCAACAAAGAGAGACAAGGTGAACGCAGGTGGGGGCACATTGACATCCTTATTGTACAAAGTGCAGAATCTAAATATGGACTCCAAATCTGATGAAAAATCAAAAGTAGTTTAACTATAGATCCTTAAAAATCACCCAGTTAATCGACAGGTGTTGAATTGCACTGAGAAGGTAGACAGGCAGACAGGTGGTGGGCAGTGTGAACTAACGGAACCACCACCTGTAATGCTAAACAGATAATCATAAAGTAGCCACTTGTTTCTCCTCTTTACTGCCATATATGGAGGCAACTTCCAGAACAACTTAAAACAGGTGTATAAATGTTAAACATTTTGAAACTGGTGTTTTGGGATCTACTGGGGATGAGGAGATTCAGGGTTATGGAGTAAACAAAAGTCTGTTTAATCAGTAATCCCATAACAATTTGATTTGGCAACTATCTATTATTTCCAAAATAATTCAATTTACAAGTTAAATACGGTAGTGGAGGTGTGATTTTTAATTTGTAGATAAGAACATTGAATCTTATAATGCAAGGTAGCTTTGCCCCACATCTGGCTAGTGGAGAAGAAAGGGCTGGACAGCCTGTCTTGGTCTCATGCTCTTTGCCCCAAAATACAGTAAAGGAGGTTGTGAGGTGGAAGTTTCCAGGAAGGCTGGTGATTCTGTCAGACTCATATTCTGGGAAAACAACGTTCAACCCAAGCCGACATTGATATTGTCCAGAGGTTGGGCTAAAGAGGGTGAGGAGAGCCCCACAAGACTTCCTTCACACGTAGAGTGGGGATGGTTCCCACTGAGAAAGAACTATGCCATTTGCTGCTTGCTTAGAACTGAGAGTTATTATTTTTTCCTTTCCTGCTAGAATGAAGGAAAAATGGGCTCTGGATAAGAGTCTGCTACTCATTTTAAATACCTAATAAAAGTCCTGCATATGCACTTGAAGTGCCATCCCTGCGGGGAGGAAAGGAGAAGCCCAGGAAATATTTGAACGCAGGTTTGAGGTTATTTGAATGACTAACGAAACTACTAACAACATTTATTCCTAATGAAAATGAAGATATGATTAGAGTTTCTTTTTAAGCAAGCACAGCATCTCCTGGCAACCACTGATTTTATTTGAAAAGAAGTGCCTTTACCATATCATAAGGTGTTTACCTGACTCTGGGACTCAATTGTTAAAATATTGAAGTATTGTGACTTATAGTAATCAAGTCTGCATGCAATTTTCTCTATAAAATAATTGTAAGCTTCCACTGTATTGAAGTGGAAAGCTTCCACTGTATTTCTTTCTAATAAAAAACCCATGTGAAAGAGGGGAAATTTTCATTAAATTCTAAAAGAATTGTTTGTTTGATTACCATCTAACATGTAGAAAATTTTGCAAGAATTTAAATCTGAGAGATGTCATAATTAATCACTGTTTCTTATTCTAACAGACAGCATAATACACATAAATTAGTACTGATGGGGAAAATAATTCAGTAATATGTGGTTTATAGGTAGATTTTTTTTTCTGAATATCTTTGGAAAATGTACAATTTTCAGAAGAGGGCCAAGTCCATAAATGTGTGAACTGTGAGGTCCTGTGTCACCTTCTTTTGTCCTGTGTCACATACTTCAAACTTCTGCTTGTACAGTTTCTAATCATAAATTTTTATACATAAAACTGAAGATTGGTGATAAGATGATGAAGTATAAACAAATTGCTTTATAGTATTTAAAGTATAATAGACATTCTTTTAGTACAAAAATATATTTTTAAAAAAATCAGGCCAGGTGTGGTGGCTCACGCCTGTAATCCCAGTACTTTGGGCGGCCAAGGCAGGTGGATCTCTTGAGGTCAAGAGTTTGAGACCAGCCTGGCCAACACGGTGAAGCCCCCTCTCTACTAAAAATACAAAAATTAGCCAGGCGTGGTGGTGGATGCCTGTAATCCCAGCTACTTGGGAGGCTGAGGCAGGAGAATCTCTTGAACCCTGGGAGGCAGAGGTTCCAGTGAGCCAAGACCGTGCCACTGCACTCCAGCCTGGGTGGAAAAGCGAGACTCCATCTCAAATAATAATAATAATAAAATAACATCAGTGTTTAACGTGAAGAGGAGAAAGATTGAGATATCTGTTCATTATATGTAGGTAAATTAAATGTTTTATCATCTCTACTCCTTTTGTCAATATAAAAGTTACACATTTTTAATAAACATACAATGATCACAGAGATGGTTGAAGGTGTCTGTACCCGCTTTCCACCTTAGCAACAGTTAATCACTGCTGTCGTTTGCTGCATAATTTTCCAGATGAGTTTTCTTTGTTACAGTAAAATGCTTTATATTTCCAGTAGATGTGCCTTTTTGTGACTATAGCTTTCCCACTTATCAGCATATTGTATATTTGGCATCTTTTCAACTGTTCTTTAAAGACACATTGCCATCAGAGAGGCTTAAACTGCTTTCAATAAGATCTTTTTTTAGACTTAAAAAGTTCTTAAGATTAGTCTAAACAGTATTACTATACTGTTCAACATATAAATATACTATTTAAATGTGGCTGTAGTCTTGGGGATTATAGGAAAACAGAACATGAATGATATATTAAGAAAAAGGTAACATGAGATGGCAAGTAGTAATGAGAAAAAACAAAGACTTTGAAGACTGCCATAGTTAATGTCCCCGCTGTTAGTCTCTATGTATTTAAAGAAAAAAAAAAAGCTAACTACTTCTTTTATTAAAATACCCAGTCTGTTAGCAACCATGTGACGTATATAGTATATGAAATACCAATATCCATTCAAGGAAATTTATTTATTTATTTAGCTATTTATTTATTTATTTATTTTTGAGACAGGGTCTTGCTCTGTCGCCCAGGCTGGAGTGCAGTGGTGCAATCTTGGTTCACTGCAACCTCTTCCTCCTAGGTTCAGGTGACTCTGTGCCTCAGCTTCCCAAGTAGCTGGGATTAGAGGCATGTGCCACCACGCCCAGCTAATTCTTGTATTTTTGGTGCAGATGGGGTTTTACCCTGTTAGGCAGGCTGGTATTGAACTCCTGGCGTCAAGTGATAAGTCTGCGTCGGCCTCCCAAAGGGGTGGGATTACAGGTGTGAGACACCGCGCCTGGCCTCATTTCAGTAATTTTAACAGTGCAGTTGTCTTCCCTCATTGCCCCTTGATCCCAGAAAGCCTGATGGATAGAATGGCTATCTGTAGAGAGGGAGGGAGGAGGAGAAAGAGAGAGAGAAAGAAGAGAGAGGGAGGACAGAGAGAGAGACTGGGGCATAAAGAAGGAGAGAAGGAGGGAGGGAGAGGGGGAGAAGAGAGAGGGAGGAGGAGTGGAAGAGAGAGAGAGAAAGAGAAAGAGAGAGAAAGAGGGAGGTAGAGAGCAAGAGAGGGTAGAGAGAGGAGGAGGGAGGGAAGGAGAGACACATAGGGAGAGAGAGAAGGAGCTAGGGAGAGTGGGGGAAAGAGGGGGAGGGAAGAAGAAGGAGAATAGGAGAAGTAAAAATTAACCAGGGAAATGAAATCACATTTGTTTTTAAAGAAGGGAAGAATAGCAACATTTTTAAAGTGGATGGAATTAAACCTGGAAAATGAAACTGAATAATATTAGAAGAGTTGGTGGGGTAGGGGAACCAGAGGCCCGCCGGGTAACGCCCTCTAGAAGGCTAAGGGCTTTTCTGGAGAAGCAGGGCCAGCCCCTCCCTGCTGCCTGGGAAGGTGGAACTCGGGGTGCTGGGGAAGGCTGAGGCCTGGAAGTGCTGCTGGTCTGGGCGATGTCTCATCTGACTACTGCAAAGGGAAGCAGGAACACCGCAGCTACGGGGGAAGATGCGCTGGGGCTGTAGTGAGTGCAGAGACGGGGTACTGGGTGAAATGATGGGCTAGGGATGGCGGCCCTGAGTGCACCCGGAACGTCTGGCGACTGCGCAGATCCACTCGGGGCTGGGGGGGTTCTCACCGTTGCAGTAAATGGCTGTGCATTCCCCCCATTTTTAATTACAGAGAAAGGAAGTGTTACTTTGCAGCAGACTTGCATCTCTTCAAAAACTCCTCTATTACAGGCAGCAAAATGCCCCGCCAGGCAGACAGAAGTGAAATCCCCTGGCAGTGATGCACATGAAGCTCTGGGTATCAGTAGTTCACATTTAATAATATGCCCGTCATAAAACTCATAACCTAAATTCAAAAGCCTTTCAAAAACACTCAGTAAGGTGGAATACAAGGGCAGTACTAATTATAAACTCTGGGGAGTTATGTAGGGAGATTAACGCACCTCAGCAAATATGTTTTCCTGAGACCCAGTGCGGGCTGGAGCTCTAGTCCACGGATTGTCCGAGGCCTCTTTATTGCCGCTTCGAGGCGCGTGTGGTCGGGGGTTTACATATTCATTAAGCAGCCAGCTCGGAGCCGCACTTCAACAGGTCATGAGCGCCCACGGAGATGAATCAGCTACTGGCACCAACCACCACCACAGCCATATGCAGCGGAGTTTATTTTATTTTATTTTATTTTATGTGTATTTCTCCAGACCACCCACTAAATTTTATTTCTTTTTCCAGGCTGCGTCCCTACGCTTAGTTCAGAAACAAGACACGATATTGCACTCCTGTTTTCACACTTAGAACATAGTATAGGGACAGGTACGGTGGCTCACGCCTATAATCCCAGCACTTTGGGAGGCCGAGGTGGGTGGATCACCTGAGGTCAGAAGTTCAAGACCAGCCTGGTCAACACGGTGAAACCCCGTCTTTACTAAAAATACAAAAATTAGCTGGGCTTGGTGGCGCGTGCCTGTGATCCCAGCTACTCCAGAGGCTGAGGCAGGAGAGTTGCTTGAACCCAGGAGGCGGAGGCTGCAGTGAGCCAAGATCACACCATTGTGCTCCAGTCTGGGCAACAAGAGAGAAACTTCGTCTCAAAAAAAAAAAAAAGTATAATAACATTGATTTCTGATCTGTCTTCATTTGGGATTATATGTTTAGAGGCCAGTGACTTGAAAATGGGATGGGCCTGAAAGAAGGAGATAATAGAATTATCCAAATGGATTTGTTCAAGTCTGCAATATTGGATGAGAATGCAAATGTATGCAGCTGAAAAATGCATCTCCCTTTTTTCCAGATTAAAGCATCTTTCAGTGTGTGAGTGCTGGGTATTCTTGTGATCTTTCACCGTGTAAGTGCTGTGTGTTCTTGTGAGTAGGAAACTTTCACTGCACTTATCTCCAGGCAACGTTTAATATTACAGTTCTTACATTTTCATCCACTGAGGCAGGTGTGTGCTGGTTATGTCTCTGCAGATTTAATTTGCATTTTTTGAGGGATAGTGTGTTTGAGTACTTTTATATACACTTACTGACCACTTGAAAACAGTCTTTTGTGCAGTACTCTTTATGAATTTCCCCTAAATTATAATGGGTTATTTATCTTTGTATTGCTCTGTAAAAATACTTTGTCTATTTTGAATGCTATTCATTGTTGATTCTAAGTGTTGAAAAATCTTCTAGGCTATGGCTTGACATTTGACTTTCTTAATACTGTCTTTTGATAAATGGAAATGCTTAATGCCTTGGCTTCTCTTTATAAATTGTACCTACGCTGATGTCATGGACATATTTTATTTTGTTAACTTTATTAACTTCCACAGGTAGATTTAAAGACAACCTGTTACTTACTTTTCTGTTACGTTTTGTGTCAGAGGTGAAGAGACCCTTCTTTCCGTACAGCACCACGTGTCCATCATTTACTGCTAAAATAGTGCTGCACAGGGAGCCACACTGAAGCCCAGTGACTTGAGAGAATGAGAGCTTACCCAGCGTGCCAGGCGGAGGGTCAGCGGTTGAGGCTGGACGGGCCTCAGGCGCTCCAGCACCTGCTTGTGGGTCAGCTGAAATACGGCAGAAGAGACTAGACTATGCCACTTGGGTCTCATTTTCTTCTCTGCATCTATTGATCTAAAGATATGACTATGTCATTTTATTTCTAGTTTGTTAATTGAAATGTAACAAAATCATTTTTTAGCTTGAATCATCATTGCATCGCTACAGTAATTCTAAGCTGGATTTGATGCATTGCTCTTAATTTTTACATTTCTTTCTTTCTTTATTTTTGAGACAGGGTCCCACTCTGTTGCCCAGGCGGGAGTGCAGTGGTGCAATCATGGTTCAGTGAAGCCTCGACCTCTTGGGTTCAAGTGATCCTCCCACCTCAGCCTCCCATGTAGCTGGGACTACAGGCATGGACTACAGCCATTTCCAATTTTTTTTTTCTTTTTTGTAGAGATGGCCCAGGCTGCTCTCAAACTCCAGAGCTCAAGTGATCCGCCTACCTTGGCCTCTCAAAGTGCTGGGATTATAGGCATGAACCACTGTGCCTGGCCAATTTTGGCATTTCTGAATTAGATTTGTGTGACAGCTAATTTTATATGTCAACTGGGCTGAGCTATGGTGTCCAGCCATTTGGTCCAACAACAGTCTAGACGTGGCCTTGAAGACATTTTGTGATATGATTGACACTTGCATCCATGGACTTCAAGCAAAGCAGATTATTCTTCACAATGTGTCCTTCTCTAAATAGCTGCAGTTCTTGAGTGCAGACTGAGCTCTCCTGGGAAGGAAGGACTTTGTCTCCCTAGACCTCTCTTCGTGTGTGTGTGTGTGTGTGTGTGTGTGTGCATGTGTGTGTACGTTCTGGGGCCCAGAACAATCAGAAAGTCTGTAGCAAATCCAGCTTCGTGCAAGCTGATGTGCTGCTTGATCTGCTGCTTAGGCCATGTGATCCAGCAGACCCAACGGAGCCTGAAGTGTCTGTGGCAGAGAGGGATGCTGCATGGGGCCTTTGCTGAATTGTAGTGAAGGCCTTTAGGATTTTGGAGGAAGGCCTTGCCATCATCCCAGATGACTACTCTCCTGTTGAGAGAAAGCTCAGTGTTGTCCTGTTACTGGGTTTTAATAGAAGCTGGCCACCTGACCATGGACCACCTACTTGCTGTGTGACCTGAGCTGCCCAGCATAAGCTGGGGACGCTGACCCACCACTCTACAACACTGGGGGTGCACAGCTACCCTCCATCCTCAAACAGAAGCAACAGAGCGTGACCAGTGCTGAGCAGGTCCTGGAGACACAAGTAAGTCACACGAGGCAGTGGCCTAAGAGCCCATGGGCCCCACTGCAGCCTCACTGCCTTCTTTCCCCAAACCTGCACCTGTGGCCTCATGGGGAGATCCCTAGGATCCGTTGACAGAGGAAGAGAAGACCTGGGCCTGAGTTACAGATGGTTCTGCACGGCATGCAGGCAGCACACAGGAGTGGATGCTGGCAGCACCAAGCCCCTGTGAGGTGTCCCCAAAGGACAACGGACAACGGAAATCCCCCCAGGGCAGAACTCCAGCAGTGCCCATGGATGTTCTTTTTTATTCTTCTTGTTTTTTCATGTGTGTGTGTGTGTGTGTGTGTGCGCGCGCACATGTACGTGTGTGTGTGCGCATGTACGTGTGTGTGTAGAGAGAGAGAGATGATAATTATCGTCTTCTATTTAGAATATATTGCCTTTAATGTTTTATTTCCTAGTCATGTCAAATATTTGTGTTGTAAGCAAACAGTATCTGAATTTGCCCCATAAATGCATATTTATTTATTCAAATATTAATACAGGTAAAATAATCTTTGTGTATCTATTATGATAACTTGAACTCGTCAGGGTGGTAATGACACAATAGGGGTGCAGCCGTTAGAACAGATATGTGTGAAGAAGAAACACAGAAGTAAGGATTCTAACTTCCCAGGACCCATGTGCCCTTTTCTAAAACTTATTTTATTTTTGTACATATATATACTTTTAGTAGAGATGGGGTTTCACCATGCTGTCCAGGCTGGTCTCAAATTCGTGGACTCAAATGATCCATCCACTTTAGTCTCCCGAAGTGCTGGGATTATAAAGCATGGGCCACTAAGTCTGCCCCGTACTTATTTTTTAAATGAATAGTCTTTGCTTTGAGGAGCCCCTCCTGTGTTCATGGGCCCCACCTCCATGTGTCATCATGGGATAGGCTGGATCCGCTGACATGAAGAAGGTGGTTATTCAAAACACACAGCAACGATAAGCAACAAAATTTAGACCCTGAAAAATCAAGACGAATACCAAAGCACCTGATAAAATTATTGCATTTGGCAGGGTGTGGTGGGTCACACCTGTAATCCCAGCACTTTGGGAGGCTGAGGTGGGCAGATCTCTTGAGCCCAGAAGTCCAAGACTAGCCTGGGCAACATAGCAAGACCCCATCTCTACAAAAAAATACAAAAATGAGCCAGGCATGGTGGCACACACCAGTGGTCCCAGCTACTCGGGAGGCTGAGGTGGGAGGATCACCTGAGCATGGGGAGGGTGAGGCTGCAGTGAGCCAAGACAACACCACTGCACTCTAGCCTGGGCAACAGAGTGAGCCCTTGTCTCAAAAAATAATAATAAAAAATAATAACTGCATTTGTCTATGACTACAGATTGTATATACTACACAAATAAGTGATGAAAAGAGAGGGTAAATCTGTTGCAGGATCATGAGGGTACACATGATACAAGCAGAAACCCCTGGATAGAAGGAGGGGAAGCAGAGTTGGGCCCCATCACATTTTGCATTTGAGCTCTTCTATTAATAGCCTGAGATTATTATGGCTTTCCAAAAAATTTAAGTCATTTGAATCCATTATTGATCATTGTGTCTGTGAACAAGCTCCTCATATAGCTAACAATCTTCTTTTTTTAATTGGTGGTTTGAGAGTCATATAATTTAATGACCAACATAGGATTGATAAATTGATTAAATGCCTAAAAACAAAACTAAACTCAGACAATCTTCTGCATTTTGACCCAATGTCTACAGTGAGTACAATGTGATACTTAAAAGAATAACTTGATAGCATTCCATTATAATCATTACTGCCTAACTTATTCAATGCAGATTCCATAGAAACACACACATGAAATGGTGATTTAATAAAATCACCTGAATTCCTAAAAATTTTTAAATCTGTTTGAAATGTTAATTCTATAATTAGTTTTATTTCTTATTGTTCTGTTTAACATGTCACATAAACATATTTGTATACTATTTATACTCACTGAGTTTTTGAAATAAAAATGAAAAATAATAAAACTGTCAAACATATTTGACAGTTTTATTATTTTTCATTTTTATTCTTCCAAAACTCAGTGAGTATACATGGTACAGGGAAAATTTGAAATAGAAAAACTCGGTTGAATATCTACAATTTTAAATTATTCTTTGGGTAATAATTTTGTTCATTTTTATTCAAGAAAATACAAATCCTTGTTTGTGGGGCTCAGCATCATGATACGTTACACTGTTGGCTTCGTCTTCTCATGTATGACAATCGAGGCCCAAGCAGGAAACAGTTGTTTATAAAACTGGGTAACTGAAAAATGAAATTAACGAAGGGAGTGGTACCAAGTTATGTGGGCAGATGGCAGGAAACCCCCACGTGACCTGGAACACAGAGGCAGTAAATATCAATGCCACAGAGAATGCTGTCATTTTCTGCGAGTGAGGCCTGCTTCCAGGAAAACCGCAGAAAGGAACAGCTTCATTTTTTATAAACTTCATACTAATATTTTGCTTTGAGAGTCATTCCTTAGAAAGTAAATTGCACAATGAACCCAAATTATTTTGTTAGAATGTTGAATCCGTTCAGGCATTTCCCAAAGAACCTGGAGAAAACTGGCTTCGTAAGGGATTGAGTTCGAAGTTACATCACTAGATCATTTTAAAGCCAATCCTACAGCCATTGTATTGTCAGTTTTGGAACCCTAAGCTTACTGGTAAGTTCAGAAAATTGCAAGTCATATTCCAGTCTTCTGGAATTCAGGCATATTTTTGCTTTCTGCATTCAGGTATATTTTTATTAGTACATTTATGACACAAATCTAATGTTTCGGCTTAAAGCAATACAAATGAGGACAGAACTGAAAGTATGCATTTGAATCTTGAATCCCCTTCTGTTTCTCGCCCAGTTAATTTTTTTCCTGTGGTGTCTACTTTACAACACAGGGTGCACAGCACACTCAGGGCCCCATCATAACACCCACTCCTGTGAGCCTCTCTTCCCCCTCCACGGGAAGGATTCAGGCACAGACCTTCGAAGTAATCATTTCCTCAAAAATATTCGCGTCAGCCCCACCGCCCACTTGATGAAAGCCGTCATAGCAGTGAGTAACATCGGAGCATAACATCGCGTCCTCCGGAAGGCCGAGCACCTGCCAGGTGCTAGCACACATCATAAAAGGGCCGACGGCAACATAAATAAATGTCTCTCGGTGGCGGAGCCGAAAAACCTGAAATGCACTTCTGAAGTGAAATGGCCACTTCTGCAAAGAGCGGAAAGGTAGCTGGTAAACGCAGTAGGAATACAGGCACAAAGCGTGGTGAGAGACTCGCCCAGCGCTTTCCTCGGTTTCTCCCAGGGCTTCCGCGTCACCAGCTTCTGCCTGCTCTCCTCCCCAACCCCAGAGTAACATCTTTCACGCAGAGAAAATGAGGGGAGGCAAACTGAGATTGATAAGTGAATGACGATCCTTATGACTATGACTTTAGGCCTAAAAATAAGGAAGGCCAAGCTTTTCTTCCCATCCAGTCCTAATGGTTCCTTTTGGCCAGCAGTGAACACTTTCTCTGTAGCATTAATGTTCAGTTGACAGAAGGGCTCCACGGAGGATGTGTCCTTTAGATCACAGAGATTGGAGAGTGCAAGAGAGGAGGCAAGATGCCTCCCCCAACAAGAAGACACCCATGGCAGATCCTTAAGGTTGGATGTATCCGCATAAAGTTAGAACCTTCGGACGTAGGCACCCCACGCAGGCCCAGGCCCCGATGGTGAGTGCTGCCTCGGCCTCCAGAGCTTCCCAGGCTCCAAAGAATTCAGTCAACGGTCCCATTAGCAGTGCATGGAGGCAGCTTATGCTATTTATGGTCAACACCAGCTTAGGTTTGCTCTGTACCCGTGCCTGTGGCAAAACAGGATGTAGGAAAACTTTATTTTATTTAATCAGAGGTGATGAGCAACTAACCAAAGCATAGTTAAGATCATCCCAACATCGTCCACTCAGACCCCCTCCAGGGGCCCATCGTGTTGATTTTCCGAGTTCTCCCCGGGACATGGGCTCTGGGGAGGAGGAGGCCTCATGGGAAAAGTTCCGTTTTCAGCTGAGCCTTCTGAATAGCAGGAGATGAGCAGACTCAAAGTCACAAAGATGTTCATCTCCAAATACCGTAAGTTTATTATACCACTGATGAGGAGTCCATTTCTCTCGTGACTAATGTGGATGGCTTTTGCTGAAGTAATTCAAGTTGATCTTTAGAGTTGAGTGTAATCCATTATTTTTTAATGGAAAAGGGTCTCATTAAATATTTATTCACTGCCTTATGCAGCAGTGCGTCTTGGAGGTGCTGACGACTCCTGCCTGCTGACCAATGGCTTTTCCACACGTGTCATTAACACGGCCATTATGTCACCAAAAATAACACATGGTCAAACTACTGCCTCAGGGAAAGCTGGGGACACTCAGTATCATTGAACTCCCCCAAGTTTAACGAAGGTGGAGATTAATATCATAATTTCCACAGAAAGGTGGAAAGAAATGCAAAACAAGATGGACAGGGACAGTTCTGGCTTCAGTCAATATTCTAGAACTTGGTTCTACTCTTTCTAGGACTTGTTTTGTTCTAGCTTAAAGATGACATCAAATATTAGTCAACCAATATTTGGGATATAAGCAGAGTGTCTCAAGCTTCACCAGCTAATGGGTGTGAACATGTTGTTTTATGTTTTCAATTATGTTAATATTTCAAATATTACTTTTCCTGAGTTTCTTTCAATTTGATTAAAGTCCAGTCATTTTCTGGGATTATATTCAGAATTGACTTCCATGAATATCCTTGCTGGATGGGCCTGGCTGCCTCCCCACTGTAGCCGCCATTCTCAGGGAAAACGTGAAGTCCACCAATTCATATTCTCTGAGTCCTCACACCGGTCCCTAATGTTCCCGCCACATCATCATCATCAAGTCCAGGATTTATCTTTATTTATCTCTTCACTGAGGCAATCGGGAAGCCACTTTTTAAGTCAGGCGGAGGTGGGTGGCTCTGTCTTCTATTTATATTCATTCCAAGAGAAACCCAGAGCTAAGCCCTAAAGAGTTAAAAGATGAAAACAAAGCAAGCGCATATATACACAACTCACTTTGCACTCAAGGAGGACTGGCCCATGCTGTCAGTTATATATTATACAGAGAATCTCCCATTCCCCTGGAATCTCCAGGGCATGATGTTGCATCAGAACCAGTTGAGACACCTAATCCCTTTAGAATTTTCTGCAAGCAATCCTTTACTGCAAGCTGCACTTGGAAGGGCTCTGTTCCTGACCATCAGGCATGCATTTATTGCTCTGAACATCAGTGATGGCCCAAATCTGAATTCTATTTTTATTTTTTGGTGGGAATCAGATAGTAATGTGATTAAACGTGTGGGAGAGAGCTTGGGTGAGGCTTTGGGGTCCTCATCCAAACCCCAAGTCAGATGCAGGAAACAGTGAGCCTTAACCCATGGAGAATCAGCATCTGATAGGCCCCACATGACTTCTGTGTGTACCATGCTGAGCTTTTATTTTTCTTGCTGTTATTAAGGTACGACACTACTTTTTTGTAATTTATAGTTTAAGAAAAGTATTTCATTGCATACGACTGTTGTCTAAGACTTTGAATCAGTATTATTAAAAAAGTGACTTAGTACCGTGAGTGGTAACCTAATTGTCTTGGGAAGCTGAGAAAAGAACAGAGGTGAAACAAATATGTAAAATATGCCCTCTTTGGGGTGCACAAGAAAACCAAAGAATGCCATGACATACTCTCTATATAAAGGTTTCAAAGTAGTTCAAATACAGACAAGTGGTGTGAGAACTGAGTGGTCAATAGCGGGGTGCTCTCCCGTGGGACTCCAGAACAAGCTGGTAACCCAGGGTCCTCCCTAAGCAGGGGGTCCCATTGCTGGGCTCATCTTGGCACTCACACAGGGGCAACAGCTTGTTAGCATTAAGCCTAGCGGAAAAAATACCAGAAAAATGTTGTTGTCAATATGTTTGGTATATTAGGTTGGATAGCAATATCAAATAATTGCATTGCATGAATTAAATCAAGTAACTAGAGGACATTAAATAAAACTACATAATGTAGGTCAACTCTGATGGGAATTAGGTGATTTTTTTCCATCCCTTTATGAGTGGTTGCTCTATCAATTTGTGCTAGCCTGACCTGGTGTAAAGTTATGTCTCTAATCTCCAACTTGCTGATCCAAACTAAAACTTGCGAAGGCTGCAGAGCCAACTCTGCTGACATCATACCTCCAGGGAGAGATGAGGGGGACATTGTTTTCATTGTGTCTTCCTTAACAGATACGTAAAGCAAAGACAATTAGAACACCTCCCAGGAGGAGCCAAAGGATGTTGTTCATGAAATCGTTCTCAAGATGACCTCTCAGCCATAGGTGAAACCCAGCATGCGCGCCCCATGAACTCTAATACCAACAGGAAGTGATGACCTCTCAGCCATAGGTGAAACCCAGCATGCCCACCCCACGAACTCTAATACCAACAGGAAGTGATGACCTCTCAGCCATAGGTGAAACCCAGCATGCACATCCCACGAACTCTAATACCAACAGGAAGTGATGACCTCTCAGCCACAGGTGAAACCCAGCATGCCCACCCCACGAACTCTAATACCAACAGGAAGTATGTTCTGAGTTCCCTTCTTCCATGGTTGTTTAAGCATAGACTTATATACCAATAAATCATTTCCTTAAAGTCTGTTTCTAAAGTGATCTATTATTGTGATTCTACTCCATAACCTCATTAAAACTATGCAAAATATTCCTTGTTAGATTTAGGTCACAGGTATCCCAATTATATGAAAACATTCTCAATAAAATTTCTGGTATCCATTTTTCTAGTTAAATAGCCTTCATTTCACCAAATTACTCCAATGTTGACTGTATGTAGCAATTACGTTTGTGTTGTATATTCAAACATGTGTAGTACCTCACGGTAGCAATTACCCATTTCTTTTTAGAGCTCGTAGTTCTTTGTTCTTCACGCATTTCAAGATTATTCCTTCTTCTTCACTTCAAGTAGTTAATTCACTTTTCTTAGAAACCAGTGAGTACTGAAGATACTGTTTTTCATGCTCACAGCCATTCCACATCTACTTGGAGCTCTATTTGTAAAGTTTAATTAATTCTTTAATCCTGCTGCTGCTTTTGTTTCATGAGCTAGTATCTCGAACGGTTTTTAAATGGGTGTAAATGTACTCTGCTTTGCTGACACACTTAAGTACCTCTTCTTGGCTGCTCTATGTGCTACTGACAAATTGAAGACATTACTAGACGAGAAAAAGTAAATAATCATACTTTTCCTGGGAAATCCAAACACATTTTAACATAGCTCTAAAATGTTCATACATCTTGTGTGAAGAGAGTGTAGGAAAAACAATATCCATAATTTATGGGTAAAGTATTTGTGTGACGAGATGGTAAAGCATGTTTTCAAAAGGCAGAATTTTTTTCTTTATTCCAGGTTTTTGTTGTTGTTGTCTTAGGTAAACCTCACACCGTTTTCCCATTACGTGTGAAGATAACCTAGTGGTCTCCCGAGGAATGGGGCTGGGGATTCTGCGGCTGTAGTCAGGACATAGAAGGTGGAGATTTCAGGCACGTGACGCGTGAACCCAGCCAGAGTCAACCTGTGTCTGTGCCCTTTCTGCAAGGGTCTCTACAGCCACCATCCAAACTACAGCTTCCAGTGGCTGCATGGCCAATCCCACAGACATCATATCTCTAGGGAAGAGACCAGGGGAAAGTTAGGGGATCCTTCTAAACAAGGGCTTAACTCCACTTCTGTGGTTTTTAGCCATATAATTTACTCTTTTTCTCCCTTTGCTCCCTGCAGGTCCCCCCTTTTATTCAGAAGTCCCCTCGCCAAGCAGCTTACAAAACTCTCTCTTCGTCTCAGTCACCACAGAACAACATGATTCTGTTGGTTTATTTATTTATTTTATTTTATTTTTGTGTGTGTGTGATGGAGTCTCACTCTGTCACCCAGGCTAGAGTGCAGTGGTATGATCTTGGCTCACCACAACCTCCGTCTCCCAGGTTCAGGCGATTCTCCTGCCTCAGCCTCCCAAGTAGGTGGGACTACAGGCATGTGCCACCATGCCTGGCTAATTTTTGTATTTTTAGTAGAGATGGCGTTTCACCATGTTGGCCAGGCTGGTCTCGAACTCCTGACCTCGTGATCTGCCTGCCTCTGCCTCCCAAAGTGTTGGGATTACAGGCGTGAGCCACTGCACCTGGCCCGTGATTCTGTTCTTATGCCTGACGCCTTCCGTCGGGGGAGCACTCCCACACTCAGTGCTCCTTGCCTTGCCCTGACGCCTTCTGTCTCGGGAGCCCTCCCACACCTGGTGCTCCTTGCCTTGCCCTGACACCTTCTGTCCCAGGAGCATTCCCACACCCGGTGCTCCTTGTCTTGATGACTTCTGTCTCAGGAGCCCTCCCACACTCAGTGCTCCTTGTCTTGCCCTGATGCCTTCTGTCGGGGGAGCACTCCCACACCCGGTGCTCTTTGTCTTGTCCTGACGCCTTCTGTCCGGGGAGCACTCCCACACCTGGTGCTCCTTGTCTTGTCCTGACGCCTTCTGTCCGGGGAGCACTCCCACACCCGGTGCTCCTTGTCTTGCCCCTTCTTCTCAGCAGTACCTCACCCAGCACATATCCTTTCTGTACTAAAAACGTATGATTTTTCTGCCATTCTTTATTCCTCCTTTCTTGAATAATTAACAAATTGACCACATATGTACTATTGTTGGAAAGTAGTAAAATTGGACACATCTAACCTCTCCTTTTTTGCCTTTTAAAATTTTCCTACTGGCTGGTTGGGAATTCATTCATTCACTTATTTGTTCATTTATTAATCAATCAATCAATACTTATTGATCACTTTTTCTGCACCAGCCACTGTGCTAAGTGAGCAGGAACTCAACATCTAAGCCTATCAAGGGGGAAGAATGTAAGCTACAGACAGATGACTGTGTGTTTTCTGGGTATGTGTCCAGGATCACAGACTTTTCTCAAATCTACTCTATAGGGATTGTCAAGGGATATATGCTTCCTTTGTTTTTTTTCTTTAGAGCTCCAAACTGTAGACACAGTTTCATGGAACACTTAGCTATTTTTGGTGAATGTGGAGGAAATGGGCCCCCAGGGAATGAGAGCAGGTAAGAAGGGGGGTGGGGCTTAGTCCCAAGGGACAGAGATTAGAGTGCAGCCTACTTTGCTCTAAGCACCAAACAAATTGGGGAGCTCTAGACATCTATGGATTCTCTGTGGGCCAAAACAAAGCCCACCTGTTATGTTTCTAGGGCCCAGGATCCAGATGCGTGCAGGTGACTGTCAGTCACAGAAGCTGAGGCATGAAGAGGAGGAGTGGGAGTGGATTCAATGGTTACAAAGTAAAGTAAAGACGTTTATAAACAACCTTTAAGCCAGGTGCGGTGGCTCACGCCTGTAATCTCAGCACTCTGAGAGGCCGAGGCAGGCGGATCACTTGAGGTCAGGAATTTGAGACCAGACTGTACGATATGGTGAAACCCTGTCTCTACTAAAAAATACAAAAAAAAAAAAAAATAGCTGGGCATAGTGGCACATGCCTGTAATCCCAGCTACTTAGGAGGCTGAGGCAGGAGAATTGCTTGAACCTAGCAGGTAGAGGTTCCCATGAGCCAAGATTGTGCCACTGCACTCCAGCCTGGGTGTTGCAGCGAGACTCCATCTCAAAAATAAGTAAGTAAATAAATAAATAAACAATCTTTAATACTGACTATGGGTATAATAGTGATGAACAACAAGTGAGACAATAAAACAAATGCAAAAACATCAATCCCAGGTGCTTTTCCAGTGCCAGCTTCCGGGATTTGGGATCCAAGAGAAGCAACTTATAAAATGAGGATGGCAGACAGGTATGGAGGGGCTTAGAAAACTAAACTCATGCTGATGTGTTTGATTTGTTACCTTCTGACTTGAAAACAATCCCAGGTCAAGCTCTGAATTAACGGACGTTTTGGACTTCAGGGTTTTTCCGTGTTTTCCTGGTGGGAATTGCCCAGAGTTGCCTCTTTAGGGATTTCACACATTTCAAAACGGTTTAACCTACCTTTTAACAAGTAATGCTTGTGTGCCCTGACTTATTTTTAAACAATGGCTTTGACATAAGCTTTATAGGATAATTCTGCTCAACAAAGGGTTCAGGAGCTGGCGCTCTTGGAGCAGGCTGTGGGGTGCTCACCGAAGACCCTGGGCCCCTCAGCGATGGTTACAGTGTACAGCAGCCTGGCCTGCCAGGGCCCAGGTGCAGCGCAGAAGCCAGAAGCCCTTGAGAATTAACAGCCTAACCCGAAGGGAGCTGGTGCATAATGCTCCCAGCTCCCACAAGCCCCGGAGTGGGCAGATCCCAGCCAAGGGGTCCAAACTGACGTCCGTGGATCTCCAGCCTGGACTGAGGTCCACTTACTCACAGTGAATACTGGCTTTGGACTGAAGCCAATACTGGCTGTCTCTACTTTCCTGAATAACTCCCTAACTTTTACCAGGATGTCCCAGGGTCACTTCCCAATAAAAGCCATACCTCACATCTTTGTCTGGGTGTCCTCTTTTGGGGTGAACCTGAACTAAGAGAGCCTTCATACTTTATATGAAAGCATATTTCTATTAACTTATTGTGTACTGGTCTAAAAAGATAGCCTTCTGTGAATGTTTAGTTTGCTCTATCATTGTCTCATAAATCAACATCACAGGAACCTTAATCCTGTCTGCTGTTCTCTCTAAATTCCCTTCATCACAGATTCGTATTTTCTGGATGGACTTCTATTAGGCGATACATTGCTGGCTGGATAGGAATTATCCTCTTCTATCCCAAGGCACATGATACCAGAAACAGGGAAATCCACCTCTTAGCAGAGTAGGATTCCATTAAAATAGATAAAATATTGACCAAGGTTAGATAAGAAGGAAGTCAGGGAAGAAAAATGGAAAGAACCAGTTAGATCTGGGAATTGAGAAGAAAGTGGGGGAGTCCCCCATGTCAATGAGAGAAAAATTCTCCAAGGATGTGTCTTCTTTGATAAGTTGCTCTGTTGACATTACCAAAGCACGTGAATTTCTGCATAATGTTCTTATCTTAGGCAGGTGGAATGAAGGAAGCTGGAGTAAATGAGACCAGTGAAGAAGGCACAATTTGCATAGTACATTTTTGTCCAGTGCTCCCCCTTTGCTAGAGAGATATATCACAAAAGTAAGCTGACTGAATTAGAAAGAGATGGCTTCAAAGCAGAAGGCAATGTCTTCAAGATTAATTAACTAACAATAAAGAAACCTTGTCCACTCCAAAGAATTAATCAATATTAATCCCTTTTCCTCTTTTTCTTCATTTGCATGATGATACATCCCGATACATCAGGACTCTGTAACAAAGTATCACAAACTGGGTGGCTTGAAACCACAGAAATGTATCATGTCCCAGTTCTGAGGCAGAAGCCCAGCATCAAAGGGTCCACAGGGACATCCTTCCTTTGAAACGCTGGGGAAATCCTTCCTTGCCTCTCCCAAGCTTCTGGTGGTTTTCTTGCCATCTTTGAAGTTCCTTGGTTTGCAGTTGTATAATTTCAACCTGAGCTTTATTGTCACCTGGGGCTTTCCCATCTGTCTCTGACTTTCTGTGACTGTCTTTCTTTCTTTTCTCTTTTTTTTTTTTTTTTTTTTTTTGAGATGGAGTCTTGCTCTGTCACCCAGGCTGGAGAGCAGTGGTGTGATCTCAGCTCACTGCAAGCTCCGCCTCCCATGTTCACGCCATTCTCCTGCTTCAGCCTCCCGAGTTGCTGTGATTACAGGTGCCCGCCACCATGCCTGGCTAATTTTTTGTATTTTTAGTAGAGACGAGGTTTCACCATGTTAGCCAGGATGGTCTCGATCTCCTGACCTTGTGATCCACCCGCCTCGGCCTCCCAAAGTGCTGGGATTACAGGCGTGAGCCACCGCGCCCAGCCTCTGTGGCTGTCTTTCTATGAGACACCAGGCACCTTGGCTTGGGGCCCACCCTGCTCCAACATGAACTCAACTTAACCCATCACAACTACCAAGACTCTGTTTCCAAATAAGGTCACACCTGAGGTGCTGGGAGCTGGGACTTCTCAATATCATCTTTGGAGGGATGCAATTTACCCCATGACAGGTGGTGAAGTAGAAGAAATAGATTAGTTTTTTTTGCAAGAGTCATTAACAAGACTCCTGCATTAAATATATGTTTTGACTATGACTATTTCTCTATTACTTGAACTTCAAGCCTGTTTTGTCCCATACAATATTTTGACAAATCATTCAAAAATTATTTATCCATTTACATTTGAAATAAAGCATATTTTAGGTATTTGAATGGAGTTAGAGTTCACATTTTAATAGCATTTTTTCTATACATTTCTGCACTAATAGATATAAATTATGGTTTATAAAATGGTTTGGGACATGGGGCTACTTTGTACTTCCAAAGACAATGTTGTTTGGCTATTTCTTATTAGATTATTTTCTCCTAAATTTGCTTTTCCCAAAGTCAAGTTGAAAAGCAATTTCAATTACTTCTTTTTTGCCTTTCTTTCTTCTTTCTTCATCCTTCCTGTTTTCCTTCCTTCCCTCTTTTACTTCTTTTTTTATTTGTTTTAATCAGATACTTGTTAGTGAAGACATTGTTGTAAGAGTTATCACTGTTATTTTTTAAGCAATAGCTTAGAATTCTTAGAGTATTTCACATTAAGGAATGCCAGTTCTGCTTTTTCAATAGAAAGTTCTTCACCCTTTCCAAGAAAAATTTGAGGATGTAGAATAAGAACTTACAAGTTATGAAATTTATATAGATGAGTTTATCTTGGGAATATTTAAAAAGCATTCACTAAACTGTGTGCTATATGCAGGCAGACACAGAGTCCATTTGGTTTTTGTAGTTTTCTATATTTATTACAAAGAAGATATGACACTTCTGTGATTAAAACAATTAAATCTCTTTTAATATTCTCTGGTAAATATTTAGCTCAGAAACCTTAACTTTTCAACTAATTTAATTTTTCAACTAATATTAAAATTAATTAATTTTTCAACCAATATTATTTTTTCAACTAATATTAACCTTAATTTTTCAACTAATATTAAAAAATGTTTATAATTAGAGAGCTGTGTCTTTTATTATTTGAAAATCCCAATTTATTATTTTTTTTGCTTCCTTGTAATTAAATTATCAGGTAAATGCTAGTCCTTAAATGTCTGTCCTGATTCCCTGCCTTATTGAATTGAACTAAATGGACTCATTTTTTGCTTCCGTCGGCTGTAGTGATGATTTCCTGATATTTGCAGATGACACAACTCAGGAAGATTTGCAAGGGGCATTCCTTGTTGCTTATGACCAAGTAAGTGATGTTCCACAGGAAGCAGTGTTGTTTTCTATTTGTTGTACATCTAAACTTTTGCTAGAGCGTGGCTGCCTCATGTCTGGCACAGGTGTGTTGTGACGGCTGAGAAGGTGGCTCTGGAGCCAAGAGGATGGGGCTGGAATCCTAGTTCTACCATTTACTCATGGAAGGACTTTCAGCCAGGCACCCAACCTCCGTGCCTCAGCTCCCTGCTCTGAAAATGAGGCTGCAGACATGTGGATTCATGAGGCTTTCATGAGAATTCAGTCAGGATACAACATATCATGGAAAACACTGCCACAAAATTGTTAGATATTAGTATTTGCTGTCACTGAGTCATGTTAGAGTGTAGCCGACAGAAAGAAACACCCCATTCCTAGATTCTGTTCACCTTGGCTGATAAAGAATGAGTGAAGTCATCTGAACAAGAGGAACTTAAGATGTTAGTTGCATATTTCTGAAGTCAATGAATTCCTTAAATAAGAACAGCTCTTCCCCAGTTGTAGAAGGCAGTAGGTTGGATTCTCTGAGTTTTTTTAAACATTTCATTTTACACAGTGCTCTTTCACTGGCGTGAAGTCTGTCAGAAATAACAGAGATGATGATAGATTTCTGTTGACATATGTTGATTGGATTGTTGTGTGTAAAAACCCGGAAAGAAATGCACAATCTAAATATTTTTAGTTAAAAGCATTCATGTTTGTTGCAGTGTTGTTGTGGTAAAAACAGCAGGCAAATGTAAAAATAAAATAGTGACAATTTGACAAAACCTTATACTTTGCAGCATTTCTAAAGTATTATTTTGGTCGAAATAGAGTTGAAATAATAAAGTCCCATGCTGGAAATGTGGTAAGGTTGAGTTTATAATAGTTGACATCCACCCATAAGGAAAGAAATTCAGGTTCAATAACCCAGAAGTGTTCATTCCATAAGCCGGAGTCCTGACTGAAGCTCTGTTGTTCAACCAGGTTGAAGGATGCAGACAGCTCTGGATGTTTGGAGTGGGTCAAGAGTTTGGAAGGCCAGGAGGAAGTCTCATATGACTGGTGTAATCCAACACAATTAGAGTAGGAGTTGGAACGGAGTGCTCACACCCTCCAGCAAATATTCTTTGTTAGAGCTGGGGTAGTAGCAGATGGACATGAGACCTGTGCTATATCCAACAGGCAATGCTGCCTAGAACCTGTGGATGGTTGAGAAACACGTGGTGTGGCCATAGCACAAAAGCAAGATGGGAACACACATAGATATTTAGTACCAAGGTCAAGGTGAGCTTGGCAAGTGAGGAAGATGTTGGAAATATTTTTATCCTCCTAGCTCAGGGAGCAATCCAGCTCTCTATGGCTCTGTTGGACGAGGAAGGTGAAAACGATTTGTAGCTCTTTCAAGAGCGGCTGCTCTGTGTGCAGGCCCTCCAGATGTGGCCACTGATTAGCCTGCAGCTGATCCAGCAACCTCACCGAAGATGGGATCAGCTAAATGCACAACTTCACATTCCAGAGAAAATCAGAGGCAGAAAAAAAGAATGAAAGCTTCCCACTCATTTTTTTTTAACCTTTCATGTTGTCTCAACATGAGATAATTACAGGAGAATTGAGGTGATTTGTTATTTATAGAAGTATTCATGGTTTTATTCACCGCTCTTGGGACTGAAAGTATTATGCCCAAGTGAACAGTCCTTTAAAAACACTCAGCAACAATAACAAGTCTCTCAAGGTTATGCCCTAGCCTGTTTTTTACCCTTTATGTCATTTGTAACAACTATGGTCTCTGACATTTAGTTAATTAAATTTGCCCACAGTGTCTGACTTGGTTGTGCAGCTCCTCTAAGAATGTAATTTTTGAAGGTGGCAAGAAGAATGGTTAACCTTGATGAGTCGGTTAGCCACGGTAGCATGCTATTCAAGATGAGGGGAAAAATTAGAATCCTCGTACAACCTACAAATAAAAAGCCTCTGGAGAAAGCACAGATGTGGAATACTTATGATCTAGGCGAGGCTTAAAAAACAAGATAGCAAAAGAAATCAAACGCCTGCACAATTGCAAAACGTGCCCTATGCCAGTCAGGGATCGCTATTCACATTAGTTTAATGTACCACCTTTTTCTCTGAATAAGTTTTGCATACATGATTTTTAAATTATGGCTGTTTGAAAGATTTCCTTTGACTTGTGTTTAAGAAGTGTTCAATTTGTGTTGGAAGTTTTTATAAAAAGAAGGTGGTGACCTGCATCGGGGGCCCGTGCAGTTGGTGAGGACTGAGATGATCATGGGAAAGGTTTAAATATTGAATAACTAGGATGTCCTGATGGATTGGGAATGCGTAAGGGAACAAGAGAAAATTCATGAATTTTCTGAAGCCATCAAAGATGTTGGCTTGAACAATTGGAAGAATGGGCGTATCAACAACTGGAATGGGGAGGAGGGTAGGGGCACCGGATTCGAGCAGCAGGGTCTCATTTTTGAGCACATTCAGCTTGGGGTATCTAGGACACATCAGAATGAAGAACCAAGCAGGCCGCTGGATATATAAGGATGGACTGGGAAGTCTTTCAATATCTGGATGAAAAGCCTGGCTCTTGGTTAAAAACCTATGTGTGGTTTTCAGCCCTAACCCTGTGTGATGACAAAGGTTTTCCTGGAAGACTTCTTGGAGATGCTACCGTCCCCACAACAGACTCGGGGCACAGCCAAGCCCTGGGGTCCACCGCGGATGGAGCCGGCAGGTAAGGATCAGGCCCGCTGGCGGCCGCGCTCCTATCCGCACCCCTTATCCGCACCCCTTATCCGCGCCCCTTATCCACACCCGTTATCCGCACCCCTTATCTGCACTCCTTATCCGCATCCCCTATCCGCACCCCCTATCCGCACCCCTGGCCCAACACCTCCACTCCGAGGCCTCTTCAGGGGGTCCTTTCCCAGCGCGTCTCCTCTCCCTCCCTGGGACTCCCAGAGCCATAAAATCAGGCCCCGTCCTTAGGGCTCCGTCCCCAGTTCCGTGACCGGCCCTCTGCTCTGTGCTGACACCCAGCACCCTCCCCGGCCTCTGCTCCGAGGGGAAAATAAAACAGGGGCCTTCAGGCCTCACCGCTGGCTCACTCCATCGCAGCAAATCGACCGAGGGTCCTCTGCTGCGTCCTTGCGGCCTGTTGTCTTACTCAGCGGCCCTGACACCCGGCATTTATTTAAAGCCTCGAGGCTGGATGCGGTTGCGACAGCAGGGCGTGTTCAGAGGAAAGAAGGGGCTGGAGCCCGGGCACTCGGGTTAGGCAACGTCAAGGGGCTCGGGAGGAGAGTGGGCTCCGCCAAGGCGGTGGCTGCAGGGGCCACGTGTGGCCTCTTGGAACACGGAGGAAGGAAGCGCTGAAGGACGTAAGGACTGTCTGTAAAATCCTCCCTGACAAGGGAGGTCAGGGTCGGGATGTCCCCTTGGACGTGGCGATGCGGAGGCCTGAGTGACCTCAGGAGAGGGGCTAGGTGGAGATGACGCTCACGGAGGGTGACTCGGGAGACAAACCGCAGACAGTAGGTGCAGGTGGCCCTGAGAGGCGTCCTGCACAGCACAGCAAAAGCCAGGGTCCTAGTTAGTGGGCGAAGTGAGTTCCAGACTTTGGGAAAATAATCGCGTTTTGTACTGCTGTAAATGAGCGGAAGAAAGGGAGAGGCCGGGCGCGGTGGCTGAGGCCTGTACTCCCAGCACTTTGGGAGGCCGTGGCGGGTGGATCTCGAGGTCAGGAGATCAAGACCAGCCTGGCCAAGATGGCGAAACCCCTTCTCTAGTAAAAACACAAAATTAGTTAGGCATGGCGGCATGCACCTGTAATCCCAGCTACTCGGGAGGCTGAGGCGGGAGAACTGCTTGAACCCGGGAAGCGGAGGTTGCAGTGAGCTGAGATCGCGCCACTGCACTCCAGCCTGGGAGACAGAGTGAGACTCCTTCTCAAAAAAAAAAAAAAAAAAAAAAAAAGTTGGGGTGAAACGGTGATGAATAAGATGGCGCGTCGCAGGACGACGTGCTGGAGAAACTAGAGCTGCTGGGAGGAGAGGAGGATGTGGTCTGGGTCATCCCAGGTGATTTCATTTTCAGAACAATCCTGCTCGCACACTCTCAATCATCTGGATGGCCATCATTGAAAATGACTGATTCCAAATGTGTTTTTTAGTTTCTATTAACAACTGCATATAAATGATGCGCTAAAATGATCCTTTAAATCTGTCAGCTCTTCAAGGTCAAATCTCGCCCTGAAATTATTTTCTAGTGTTCAGGGCAATTAATAGATCATTAACAGAACTGTTGCTTAATACATATTTCTTGAATTTTATCATTTATTCTCCTGAAAGAAACATCACCTGACAATCGTAATTTTGTACAATGAATTTGGAATCTGGTGAGTTATTAAAAATAAATTTTAGATGGGCAATGTTGAGTCCTGGTGTACATGGGGGCAGCTGAGTTGCTGGAACACAAGAGCCACTGAAGGAAGAGGTGTCCCAGCCAAAGATAGGAGTAGGCGAGAAGCCTCGGTGCAGCCTAAATGTGAGGGGTGAGATGAGCTACCCAGACCAGCTATGATGCTAATAGGAGATGATGTCTGAATTTTAAATTCCTAGCCCTAGCCAAATATGTTGGCATTTTTAACCAACAGCTTTGAATTGGAATCTTACTGGAGAATAAGAATGAGAGGGCATTCACTGTCTGATGCAGAGTGTTGAAGTGGGATTATCACAGAGGGGAAGGTGAAACTCAAGTTAATGAAACTGCTATGTTGGTTTTTAAAGCAATTAGGAAAGATTTCCATTTCTAGAAATAAGGCAGGGCAAATATTTTGAAAAGAATACCTGCTACAGTTACTCCTTTCTGTAGATAACGCAACTCAATAAACGTCATCTAAAATTGGAGCAAGAAATGAAATCGGAAGCTGGCATTGCCAGAGGGTAAATGTTTATTACAGGCATTTGAGATATCTGATATGGAGGAGAAAGGAATGCTAAGCTGTGGGCCTGACTTGAACTGGGCAGGGAGGGAGGAGGTGAATCCATGATTCTTACTTTAATCTGGGACATTCAGAATATTTATATCCTTACTGAAAAGATCAACTAGAAATAATGTGTTGAGACAAAATGAACCTGAAAAGAAATAAGTTGTCCTTTGCAAGCTGTGAAAAATTAGTAGTGATAGCAATAGTACAGCTATGTCCTCATAAAGTGTATTTTTTGTTATAGAGCCAATATTTATTCCTGAAAAGGTGAGATTCTGCATGAATATGTTGAGGGGCTTTTTCCTATCATTTTAAATGTGAAATTATGATACATTGCATATAAACCTAAACCCCTAATGACTGACGTACAGTATAAATGAAATTCAATAAACCAGCCATACATAACCAGCAATTATTTTAGGAGATAAGATGCTTAAAATATCTTCTTAATCATTTAAAACATATATTTTGCTAACAAACAGTTGCTTGTTGTGCAAGAACATGGTCTCTCAGCATCACCAAAATTCAAGAGACATAATCCTTAGTGGACATTTAACTAGCTTCTCCAAATGTAAAAGCATGATTGCAATGTTCGGCCAATTTTATTTTTAATATACCTCAAGATATTTCTCACATTTCATCATGTTAGTAATGTACTGAGTTTAGGAGATGTAAATATATTTTTTCTATAAAACAGGCCAAAATAATTTATTAAGAGGAATTTTTTTCATAAAGTTTTGAAATTAACATAGTGATATTCTACCAATATTATATTCACTAGGAAGATAATCTGCAAGACATGTTTGTTATATGAATACATAACTTTATGCTGGGCGTGGTGGCTCACGCCTGTAATCCCAGCACTTTGGGAGGCCGAGGCTGGCAGATCACCTGAGGTCAGGAGTTCGAGACCAGCCTGACCAGTGTGATGAAACCCCGTCTCTACTAAAAATGCAAAAATTAGCCAGGAGTGGGGGCATGCGCCTGTAATCCCAGCTACTCAGGAGGCTGAGACAGGAGAATTGCTTGAACCCTGGAGGCAGAGGTTGCAATGACCTGAGATAGTGCCATTGCACTATAGCCTGGGCAACAAGAGCAAAACTCCATCTTATAAAAAAAAAAAAAAGAAAGAAATACATAACTTTAGGACAACTCTGACTTGGGTCAGCAGCTCCAATTTATATGATCTACACAGGACCAGCCAGTGGATGATTCCGTGAAACAGAAACCACCACTTTGGGAGTTGAAAGAAGAAATCTAATGTATCCTGCTGTTCTGAAACCATCACTTCCTATTGACAGGTTTTTGGATTTAGCTGACGGTAGGTATGGAGTTTTTTTTTATTTTAATTTGGAATGACATGAAAACGAATACTGTGGACTGCATTTTATGTGCTCATTTGCCCCCTGTTTATCCTCCCCAGTGAGGTGTTTGTTCAGAACTTTTGCCCATTTTTAATTGAGTTGTTTGTCTTCTTATTGCTCAGTTTGGATTGCTATTTGTATCGTGTGGATTCCAGTCCTTTATCAGATATGTGTTTTACAAATATTTTTCCAGTCAGTGGCTTGTCTTTTCATTCTCTTGGCAGTGTTTTTACTGAGCAGAAGTTTACGATTTTAGAAAAGGACAGTTTGTCATTTTTTTTCTTTTGTGGATCACGCCTTTGGTGTTGGATCTAGAAACTCATGACCAAAGCAAGATCTTATGGATACTCTGTTAAGTTTTCTTTTGAATGTTTTATTGTTCTGTATTTTATTTTTAGGCCTATAACACATTTTGATATTATTTTGAAATATGAATGTTCTAGTTTTGCATTTTTCTCATATGAACATTCAATTTTCCCAGGACCATTTTGTTGAAAGACGAACCATTCTCTGTTGAATTACCTGTGCTCTTTGCTCTTTTGTCAAAGAGCTCTTGACTGTGTTAGCGTGATTTACTTCTGGGCTCTGAGTTCTGTTCTGTTGGTCAATTTGTCTGTTCTTTCACCAATGCCAAGCTGTCTTGATTACTGCAGGTTTACTCTAAGTCTTAAAGTTGGTTGCTTGGTGTTGTTTCTCTGACTTTGTTCTTTTCCTTCAATATTCTGTTCGCGATTATGGGCCTTTTGATTTTCTATGTAAACTTCAGAATCAGTTTGATGATATCCAAAAAATAACTCACTTGGACTTTGATTGAGATTGCACTGAGTCTATCCATCAAATTTGGAAGAACTGACATCTTAACAAAAAATCTTCCTGTCCATGAAAATAGAGTATCTCTCCATTTATTTAGATTTTCTTTATTGTTTTCTATCAGAGTTTTATAGTTTTTAGATACAGATCTTGTACATAATCCATTCGATTTATACATGTGTATCTCATTTTTCTGCTATTGTAATTGATATTGTGATTTTAATTTCAAATTGCAAATGCTCATATTGATGATAGACGGAAGAGCAAGTGACTTATGTATGTTAACCTTGTATCCTATAACATTATTATATTATTTATTAGACCAGGAATTGTTATTGTTTTGGTCAGTTCTTTGGGAGTTCCTACATAAACCATCGTATAATCTGTGAACAAATACAGTTTAATTTCTTTTTTACAGTGTGTGTGGCTTTCTTTTCTTGAGGCCCTAGACAGGACGTTCAGTAGGATGTTGAGTAATAACCACAGGAAGAAACCCCTTTGCCTGGGTCCCCGTCATAAGGGGAAGATGGTCCATTTCTCAGCTCCTGATGCGATGCTGGCTGTAGGTGTTTGTAGCTGTTCTTCATCAAGTTGATGAAGTATCCCTCTGTTTCTAGTTGGCTCAGAGTTGTTTCATTCAGGGTGTTGAATTTTGTCAAATGCTTTTTCTGCATTTATTGGTATGACTGTATAGTTATTCTTATTTAGCCTGTTGGTGTGGTGGATTACAATAAGTGAGGTTTTTTGTTTCATTGTTTGTTTGTTTTTGAGCCAGAGTCTTACTCTGTCTCCTAGGCTGGAGTGCAGTGGTGTGATCTCAGCTCACTGCAACTTCTGCCCCCTGGGCCCAAGCAATTCTCCCACATCGACCTTCCCACATCAGCCTCCAGAGTAACTAGGGCTACAGACACATATCACAGCACCCGGCTAATTTTTTTTTTTTTTTCTAGAGACTGGGTTTCCCCATGTTGCCCAGGCTGGCCTTGTACTCCTGGCCTCAAGCGATCTTCCTGCCTTGGCCTCCCAAAGTGCTGGGATTACAGGTGTGAGCCACTGCGTAAGCCACATTAAGTGAGTCTTAAGTGTGGAATGTGCCTGCATATGTGGAAAAGAGTCTCACTTGGCTGTGGTTTGTAATTCATTTTATTTATTGTTGGGTTTTATTTGCTGTCACTGTGTTTGAGGACTTTCATACCTATGTTCATAATAGATTTTGGTTTGTATTTTTCCTCACTTTCAACCTCTTTACCTGGTTTTCACTTTTGAGTAATGCTGGACTCATGAAATTAGTTAGGACGTGTTCTTCAGTTCCTATTTTTTGGAACATATCATAGAGAATTGGTATCATTTTTTCTTAAACATGTGGTAGTGTTCTGTTTTGGAAAGTTATTGCTTATTGATTCAATTTCTGAAATAGATATAGTCTCATTCATTTTATTCAGTTCTCCTTGTGTGAGTTTTGGCAGTTTGCCTTTTTTTTAGGAATTGATCCATTTTATTTGTTGCTAAATTTGTGGGCATACGGCGATTCATAATATTCCTTTATTTCCTTTTATTGTTCATTCGTAGTAATGTCCCTTCTTTCATTCTGGCATTTGTAATTTGAGTATTTTTTTTTCTTTTACTTGGTTAGCCAGGTTAGAAGTATATCATTTTAAAAATCATTTCAGAGAACCTGCTTTTGGTTTTCTTAATTTTTGCTATTAATTTCCTGGCTTCAGTTTCATTGATTTCTAATCTGATTTTTATTTTTTTCTTTTCTTCTCGTTATTTTAAGCTTTAATTGTTTTTTCTCTAGTTTCTTGAAGTGCAAGCTTAGATTTCAGATCTTTTTGTTTCTAATCATGCTTTTCTAATACATGTATTTCTTTGTAGGTATCACTTTACCTTATCCCATAAAATTTGATTAGAAAGTTGTGTTTTGACTTTTATTTAGTTCAAAATGTTTTTAAAACTTTCCTCAGACTTTTTTTTGACACATGCATCAGTGAGAAATATGCTTTTTAATTTTGAACTGGTGGGGGTGGTTCAAGTATCTTGTTGTTATTGATTTATAGTGTAATTTCATTGTGGTCTGAGAATGCATTTTGTCTGTTTTCTTTCTGCAAGTTTGCTAAGGTGTGTCTCATCACCCAAAATGTGCATAGTCTTGGTAAATGTTCCAGGTGACCTTGAGAAGAATGTATTTTCTGCTATTTGTTGAGTGGAGTGTTCTATCTTCTGCCTAGAAGTGTCATATAGGTCAAGTTAATCCCCATTGTTGTTCAGATTAACTATATTTCTATTAATGTTCTGCTTGTTAGATCCACCAAGTCCTGAAAAGCAGGCATTGAAGTCTCCAGCTGTAACTGGTTATTTTTTGTTTCTCCTTGCAGTTCTACTAGGTTGCCTGTTTTATGATACTTTGTTGTTAAAGACATGCTTGTTAAAGATTGTTATATCTTCTTGGAGAATTAACCACTTTATTACTCTGTAATGTCCATCTTTGTCCCTGATAATTTTCCTTGCTCTGAAGTCTGTTTTGAATGGAATTACTAAAGTTGTTTGAGCTTTGTTTTGATTATTGTTAGCATTGCTATATCTTTCTTCATCCCTTTAATTTTAATGTGTTAGTGTCTTTATGTTTAAATTGAGTTTCCTATAGAAAACTATCCTTTTGTTGTTGTTTAAAATCCATTTTCCTTTGTAGGGACATGGATGAAACTGGAAACCATCATTCTCAGCAAACTATCGCAAGGACAAAAAACCAAACACTGCATGTTCTCACTCATAGGTGGGAATCGAACAATGAGAACACATGGACACAGGAAGGGGAACATCACACACCGGGAACTGTTGTGGGGTGGGGGGAGGGGGGAGGGACAGCATTAGGAGATATACCTAATGTTAAATGACGAGTTAATGGGTACAGCACACCAACATGGCACATGTATACATATGTAACTAACCTGCACATTGTGCACATGTACCCTAAAACTTAAAGTATAATAATAATAAAATTAAAAAAAAATCATTGCCTTTAATTGGTATAGTTAGAACATTTACATTTAAAGCAAATATTTATGGCACTGCATTAATATTAATATCAATCATGATTTTATTATTTTGTATTTATTGCACTTACTCGTTTTTTCTTCCTCTTCATTTTTTCATTCTCTGATTTAAATTTTGCATACAATTTAATATTATTTCTTCTCTTAAGAAATAAACTCTGCTTTCTAAAGAAGAAAATATCGATTATCTTAGAGTTTGTAATATACATTTATAGGAATCTGGGTCCACTTTCAGATGGCTCCTTAAAAGGGAATATTTCCAACTCTTGCTTCTGTTTCTTTATAAATTTGCTGTGATTTAATTCACTTATCTGTATGCTGTAATCAAACAATACATTGTTACTCTTATTACTGTGAACAAAAAATTAAATAGTAGATAAAGTAAGAATTATATACATTTAGTTTCATGCCTTGATCACTTTCTTTAGCTCTGAAGAACTTTCAGCATTTCTCACAGGGCTGGGCTTCTTGCAACTAATATCCTTAGCTTTTGTCTGAAAAGGTCTTCAGTTCTCTTCCAATTCTGAAGGACAATTTCTCTGGATATAGAACTCTGGGTCAGTGGTGTCCTTCTTTCAACACTTAAATACTTCATTTAACTCTTCTAGCTTACATAGAATCTGTGAAGACGTCTGGTGGGATTGTTATTCTTTTCGTTTATGGATGAGGCATTTTTTTTCTTTTTTTCTTTGGCTACTTTCCAGATTTTTCTGTTGGGCTGTAGTTTTGGGGTGACTTGAATACTTTATGCCCACCTGTAGCCTTTTTTGTTTGTTTTTCATTTGGCTTGGTGTCCTCTAAACTTCCTGAATCTCTGTTTTTGTGTCTGTCATAGATTTTTTAAAAATTCTTGCTCATTTTACTGCAGATATTTCTTCTACTCCTCTCTCTTATTTTTTTATCTTCCTTCTGATATTTTAAATATCCATATATTGTATCTTTTGAGATTGCCCTACAGTTTTTGAAAATTTTGTTCTGTTTTATTTTCCTCTTTTTGTTTCAGAAGTTTCTATTGATGTTTCTCCAAGCTTGTTGATCTTTGTCTTGGTCATGTCTAGTTAATTATAAGCCCATAAAAGGCATTCTGTATTTCTGTTTTGGTGTTTTCATTTCTAGCATTTTATTTTGATCCCTTTTTAGAACTTTTGTCTCTCTGCTTACATGACACACAAGTCCTTACATGACATTTACTTCTTCCATTTGAACCCATAATGTACCAATCACAGTTATTTTAAGTGTCCAGTCTCATAATTGCCAAATCTGTGTTCTGTCTGAGTCTGGATGTGAGGCTTGTTTTGTCTCTTCAGATTATGGAGGATCCTTGCCTTCAGGATGCCTCATGGTTTTTTGTTCATATCTGGGCAATATGGGGTTACGTAATAGAAACTAAGCTTCAGTGTGAAGTGTGACGTGGATCTACTGCAAACTGGGCTGTGCTTAATGTTTTCTGTAGCTGTAGGTTTCAGGGCTTCCAACTCCTCTCTAATGTACAGGTTTCTGTCTCTCTTACTGTCTTTGTGTTTCCCTACAAACTCCTTCTCAAATAGAGTTTGAGCTGTGCAGCTGTTTCAGCTGTGACCTGCTGTTATTTCATCAGAACCTAGTGCGGTGGCAAGGATGGTGGGGAGACGATGTGTTCTATCCTCTTATGATCAAATCCAAGTCTGTAGTGGGCCTGTGTCCCCGGCTGATACCTGCTCAGGTGTCTCCTGGCTTTCTTAGGTAAGAGAGGGACGCTGGAGGAGGGGCTGGGAATTGGCTGCTGGAGGAGGAGAACTGCCCTTCCGTCTGGGCAGGAAAGCACTGGCCAAGCATTTCCTCTGGGGAGCAGGTCTGTGTTCAACACAGCAGCTTTCTTCTTCCTCCTCGCAGAGACGTGAGGTGATTTGTTTGACTGTCCGCTATGAAAATCTAGTGGGGTTCCAGGGTGCAAACACACAGAAGTGTGGGGTCCTTCTAAGACTGCAGCCCCACGCGCTCCTCATTTTTGTGTCAGTCCATGACCCACCTCAAGAAATTTGTCATAAAACATCCACGCATTCTGGCAAATTTGTGGCTCTGTGGCTCTGGCTTCAGGTCAGCTGCCGTGGCCTGTCCCTCCAGATCCAGGGTAGCCCCCTGTCCTTTTGGGGGTTCTGGAATGGGCAACAATGTTCAATAGGTTTAGTTTTTCTCTTGGGTTCAGGATAGGAGTGACAGCCTTCCAGTCCATGTCAGAGCTGAGAGCAGAAATCCTCCGCCAGTTTTACAGCTTATTCTTGGCATGACAGCATGACCCAAGTTCACTTTTAGTTTCTCCAGTGCAGCCCTGAATTCCACCCTTTCTCCAGGCATTCTGAGTCCTCTTATTGAGGCAACCAATAGAGGCAAAAAGCCAGGATCTTGGAAAGAGGTGTGCTCATTGTTGCTGGTCTGCCATGATTCCAGGCCATTCCAGTGGGTGGAGTTAGAGAGCAAAAGTGTGCATGCGACTCCACATAGACACACAGGTGCACAGGTATTTCTGTCTTTAAATAGCCAAAATAAATATATAAGCATAAATATATGTGGACATATAAATATTGACATACATATATTTGCTGAGGCTTATAGGTAAAATACATTATTTACATATAATATGTAAGGTGTATTATTATATGTAATATATAATTTTTAACTATGAGTTTGTACTGATTTCTCCTATTTCAATCCAAAACCACAGGATTCATCTAGGGATCACCTTCCTCTCTGTGAATTGACTCTAAGCTTGGTGACTTCCACCGTTACTCACCTGCTCAACCCAAGTTTATGCTAGAGTAGTTTCAAAACTAATTTTACTGATTAGCAAATAGTGTTTGCACATATTTCTTTTTGTATTTAGCTTCATTCTTTTTGTCTTTAGCTTTTTTGCTTCAATTATTTTAGTCTTTAGCTTTTTGTCTTTAGTATTCAGTCAAAATATTGTTTTCCAACATTGCATTCTTTCTTTTCTACCTCGAGAGTTGGTTCTGCTTTTCACCAGTAATTCATTCATTATAGTTTTAATTCAATGTTGGAATTCCTCATAGCCTCGTTGAGTTTTGATCAAATTATATACAGTAAAATTTATTCACCTTGGAATATAGTTCTATGGGTATTGATAATTATATAAAGTCACGAATTTCCCACTATAATCGAGAAATGGAAAAATTCCATCGTTTAAAAATTTTATCATGCTGACCTTTGCAATAAACCCCTTCTCCATTTGTCTCATTTAGATTTCACCAGCGGAAGCGCGTGTGTAGCTTTTGGCGATGACTTCTTTTGCTCAGCAAGACGCACTTGTTTTATCTTATGATGCTGCATGAATCGATAGTTCATATATTTTTTGCTGATGGGCATTGTGTTGTGTGCAAGGGCTGTGGATAGTTTATCCATTTACTTGTGGAAGGATAGCTTGTTTGTTTTCATTTGAGAGCTGTGTGTGTGTGTTTTTATCAGTATAAAATACTGTGTACTCTCCTAATGAATTTGGAAAAAAATAGCAGTTGGGTAATTTTTTTAAGACAATGAAGAACTGAAAGTTCTGACTGAACGTATTGAATGCCACAGGAATGGCTGAGGGAGAAACGAAAACAAGCTATTTTCCACGCCCCCCTGTGAAAGGCAGGTCCCCACTCATGCCCATGACATCTCGCACTCACGTGACTGAGTTTTCCTTTCTCGCCACCTCACTCGAGCCCAGCTGAGTTCACGGGACTCCTTGGGCCCCCGCGTTTCCTGACCTGTCTTCCCGGGCTTCCTCCCTCCGCGCTCTCTGCCGGGCCACCATGTCCCACTCCTGCATGTGAGGGATCTGCTCAGACATCAGCATATAGATCGGCCTTTCATGACTACACTCGGGAAAACATCTGCGTCTACCCCGGCCTGGCCTGTGTGTTTTCTCCGCAGCACGGCTCTCCACGCGTGATGTGACATGAGGGCACCCGTGACCCCACATGCGACAGGGTTGTCCACTGTGGAATGTAAGTCCCGTGAGGGAAAGGACTTGTATTCATTTTTATTGTTATTTGCTCTGTTTTTTTTTTTAAATACTCCAAGCTTAGAACTTTAAGTAGTATCTGCCAGACAGTTGTTGAATGAATGGACAAACCAAGAATTGATTTGCTCAGTTCCAAGACTCAGGGAGATTTGTGGGATGACTATTACGAAATTACCAGGAGCGGGTAATTTTCTGGCGTTTATAAATGATTTTGGAGCATATAAATTTATATAAAAGTTTTTAATTCACTTTAAAATAATAGGAATAATGCATAAAAGGAGATAATTCACATAGAGCAAGTAAAAATGATCTTTAAACATGTAAAATATATGCAACCTCATTAACAAGTGGTAATTTGAAACAGAAGATCCCTTTTTTAACCTAACAAATGGACAGATATTTGAATAAATTAACTATGTTATTTCTTCTTTAAAAATAATCTTCATGTGGAACAGATTTTGCTACGCTGTCCTTTTTACAGGAATGTCAGTCAAACCCCAGTAGAGTTTTCTTCATTTTTCTTATTTTTTGCGTACTTACAGATTTCTTCAACCCTTTTTGGAATTGTTTGGGGTATTTCCTTTCTCTCCATTCACTCACGTCTTCATTTAACAAATGAAGCTCGAATATAGGATGACAGCGTAATTGGCCACAGGAAAAAGTTAGGTGGGTTTTTAAAATGCAGATAATCCAGTATCAACGCGGGGCGGACTGGAGACCCAGGAAACGCCTGAAAGGAGGGCCGTGCAGGACGAAGCCCCCAGGACACGCGAGGAGACCCGGCCGCGCGCCGCGTGGGGCTTGGGAGCCTCCGAGGGGCCATGCCCAGCCTGGAATAACCATTTCGGTTTTTGCTAGATGGCTGCGGAGACAATGGATGAATGACAGAAATAAAACAAGTAAAGGAAAACCCAGCCATGCGAGAGGCTGCTGTCGGAACCTGGCGAGCAGGACGTGGCTGCTGCTGGAGAGGAGCCGAGGGTGACGGCTCGGTGTGGGGTGGACACTGGTCCAGGGCCAGCTCCTGAAGTGCAGCAAAGTCTAAGGCTCCTTAAGGATGAAGAGGGCACCCACCGGACAGAAAGATGGGTTCAGGGGAGTAGATCTTTAATGAGCGCTGGACGTGCGGTGGGGAATGCTGGGTTCCTTAGAGCTGCAGGGCCTGCGTGTCAGCGGGAGCTCTGCAAAGAACTCACAGGTGGTGTTGGGAGCCAAGGAAGCACTCTCCTCCCTCTAAGGTCCACGGATGTAGGCCTGGGAGACAGCAAGCATGAAGACTGAAATGCGCTTTGGGGGAAGACGTGTGTATACTCCGGGGGAAAGAGTTCAAGTTAAGGAACAAAATAGAGAAAATATTTTGTTAAAAAAATAAGATTGTAGGAATTTTTAGGGTTTCCAAAGCTGCAAAAACACAGGATGGAAGGTCCATCAAGAAGAAACCTAAAACAGCACAGAGAGGAATGCAGGAGGCTTCAGAATGCCCGTGGGGTAAATGGAAAGAGTGAGTGTGTATGTATGTCTGTGTGCATACGTGTGTGCATATGTGTGCGTGTGTGTGCATACATGTGTACATATGTGTGCACTTAGTGAACACAGCATGGATAGGAAGCTTGGAGAAATTCTTTGAAATTTGGGCACAGTATAGGAGACAGGACTCATTCTGCCTGCTTCCTGGATGAATCTGAACAGTTTTGGGGATAATTCTCTGGAAGAGGTCAATCAAGGATGTTGGTGTTTTGGAAGACATTCAGCTCCCTTGTCATTGGCTTGAGGGTTGTTGATGCTCCTTCTAACAGCTCCTGAGCAAAGGTGCTGGGGCGCATGGTGGAGGACGCAGCACAGCGAAGAAACTCACTTTACTCAGGGTCGGAGCCCCTGGCGCTGTTCCCAGGGATCTGTGAGGTGCTGAGAGCAGAGGAATCTACTTCTAGGTCAGCAGAGAGGAGTTAAAGTGACGACCTTAAGTAGCAAGGGCTCACAGTGAAGAATAGAGCTAAAATCCAGTTGCCTCTTTCAGCATTTCATTTAGAAACATTCCCCCCAAAATAGTGTTTATTCTCTCCTGTTGTCATATAGTGAGAAGCAGATGTCTGGGAAAATGGAATGCAAGGAAATTAGCTTTGATATAGGAAAAGAGGAGTTGAGAGCTGCTGTATTTTTTTTTTCTTCTAGGCCTAGATAGAGCAGAGCAAAAAAAAAAAAAAAAAAAAAAAAAAAATCAGCTTGCTATTCTGTCAGTTCTTTGTTATAAAAATTATTAGAACACAATTAATAGGAGTGGGACAGAAAAGGATACAGAGCCATTGAAAGAAGATTTGGAGAATCACCAGAGTTAACCTGCAGATCACCATTGGGTCCATCCAATTACTGTACGAATGAAGATGTCAGAAAACACACACATCGCTGAGTACATCTCAGAGACCCTTGTTCCTAGGGAAGTGCAGGAATTATGAAATGCACAAAAAAAATCTGAATAGTTTGAAGAAAATTGGAAAATATTTAAAGAAGAGAAGAGGAAAAGAAGGAAGGATAGAAATGGATGAACATATGTTTGTAAAGGAAAGTGACTTTTGAAAGACAGAAGGTCATACAGGAAAGATGTATTTGAAAGAGAAGTTGTAAAATCCCTTTGGCTACAGGGGGAAGTCAGGGAAATTGTAAGTATAATAACTTGTCTGAACATGTTTTCATTTTAAGGAGTCGGCTTCATTTTTAGATAAGGTTGTATTTTATTATCTTCAATCTGGGAGTGACCAGAGATTTTACTAAATTAAGAAAGACGGTGGCCCACATGAAAATTCACATTATCTTTAACCATATGTCTGTGGCTTTCTGAATTAAGAATATGCAATAACTCATAAACTAGACCAGCTCTAACTCTGATTGTTACCCTATATGATCTCACCTTTCTATTTTTAAAACTTCCTTATTATCCAAGTAGTTTGCTGGCACTCTCCGGTGACTTTTCCTTTTGGATTAAATATATCCTAAGGAGATCAGTCAGAAGCCAGTCTTTTAACTCCATAAGCTGATTTTATCGAAAAGCTCGTCATGCCCTGATCTCTGAATCATTGTTCTCAGCTGGAACTCCGGGATATGTGGGTTGTGCTTTTCACGTGGCCAAGGCATGTCATCCGCACGGGAAGGAGCAGGGGAGTGGATCCCCTGGGACACACTCTTCAACGTTGTCCATGGACTTCACCTGCTTTAAGCCTTTGGGGATCGTTCAGCTGCGTTTCACAATGTGCATTTTTAGATGTTCATAATTAAATCTCTTTCTAATGCAACTCCATAAGAAAATAAATCCATGTCCACAATATGAGAAGAGATGGGTGTTCTTGGGGGAGGTGGGAGGATCCAATTCTAACCGCGTGCAGCTGCGTCGAGGACATGATTTCAGTGGGCAGGTCAGTGGGGAATAAATTTTCTCCATGGTTATGGAGAACAGCACATTCTGCTTCTGTGCTATGAATCAGGAGAAACAAGGATGTCCAAATGTCCTTTAAATGGTTTACTAAAGATAAGAATCATATACCAAAATAGTATCAGATTTATTTGGACAAAAGATACAAAGAGTTGTACATTCTAAACAATGCAAAATCTAATTGTTTTATGCATGGGGATATTTAGCTCATTGAAAATTTTGCAGTAAGCCACTGTAGCCTGAACTTGGCATTATGCTGAGTCAAAAGCTACACCAGGCATCTATGAACTGATAAGACTATATAAATATGCAAAAATCCAATAAGCAGTTGCAGTATAGATTCCTTAATGGATACCAAAAGATGTGCGGATTTCAGAACAGGGCCTGAGGTTCCATTTGGACTAGGGTAACGGTTTGTTTCAAGGAGAGTAATGTTTGATATTTAGTGACTAGTTACTCTGCCATGCGGAACAGTATACATCATTTCTCTCATAATTTGGCATTTCCAGAAGATTTGCTATGTAACATTTATTGGCTGCTCAGTATTGTAACATTTCTGAATTGCATTGTACCTAGAGACCTCAGCTATCCTTCCCTTTTATAAGGAAATAATTGTATGTATCACAATTAATAGCAAGACTGACAAGCCATTTTTGCATAGCATTTACTATTTTCCAGCACATTTACTAATATTTGGAAATATTAGTTTATTCTGACCGTAAGACAGCCTTGTGAAGTAGGTATTTCCATTACTCTCATTTTATAAATGGAGAAAGGGGAAGCATCAAGAGATGAATTCACTTGTGAGATGGGAGGTGGCCTGAGCAGGAATACGGACAGGGAGCTCAGATCCGAGGCCGGAGCTTCAATCAACGCAAGCCACTCCCTCTCCCCAGGTCACTACCTGTGTCCAAAGATACTGAAGAGCTGCCCAAGGTCTAGTAGCTTTTTTTAAAGCAAAGACGAGAAAAGCTACCATCTCTGCCTCAGACCTACTTGCATTGTTTCTAAAGTGCTACTAATTAAAGTCCTACCCCCAATTCTGAAAAACCTATTGCTGAGTAGCTGAATATTTCTCAACCCAATCCCCAGTGTTTATTTACATATTTATTAGACATTGTGTTGGTAATTTTCCTGCTTCAATTTCTTTTGTTGACACTTCTGTTTCCTAAAGGAACACTGGGTTATCCCAGAGCCTCAGAGAAAGGAAGTCCATCTCAGATTCTCACTAACTCTTCCTTCCTTTCCCATCCCTTTTCTTGGCGGTACAGAGGGAAGCTTGGCCACTTTTTCTATGTCCTGTGGGTCAAATTTTTGTTTTGCAAAGGTTTTCAAAGTATCTTTTCAGAAAAGACAGCATTTTACAAGTCCCATATCTATTCAGAAAACCCACTTCCACTTTAATCACTTCCTATAAAAATTGTAATGACCACACATCAGTGGAGCTATAGGAGAGTTATTAAAACAGTTGCCAAGAGTCATCCCCAAGGCCCTTTCTACTTCCTGAGAGCCATTGATGGTAACGGATGAGAGTAATTTAACACATCTCTCGGTGTTAGCTGGCTCAGTTGGAAGCAGTCCACTTGGCATGCGATCGCATCTTGAATCACACTTGGTAGGAAAACACGCAGAGCCAGCTCAGCGTCAGCCCATGTCTTAGTACGTCAGCTGCAGGGGGTCAGACGTGTAAGGGACATAACAGGTGAGCAATCCTCACCGTGCTGTGAACCCCATTGCGTAAATACCCGTTCGAGCTGATGCGGTGATTAGGTAAGTAAAACAGGACTCAATAGGTGTTATTCAACTTGTGTCTCTTAATTTCTACAACTAAAAGTAATGGACTAGTTGAAGACACACTAGTTCTTTGGGTCTTATATGAAAAGCATTGTTTTTTACTTTTACTGTTATGGCATGTTGATGGTGTGAGGGCTTAAGGAGTGGAAAGGAACACGGAATCAGAACGTTAACTCTCACAAGGCTGTCAGGCTCTGTGTAATCAACCTTTGTGATCATAGAGGCAGATTAAGGTAACGACTTCCGGCAGAGGATCTTAGAGGTATTATATTTTTCCTCCAAGGGTTTACAATTCTGTGGGGGAACATATTTCCACAAATGTGGAAATGAGCCTTCCATGGTGCCAGTCTACAATGGCGGTTCAGCTGTTCCATCATGGCAAGTCTAAAGAGTGTCAATCACACCCCATGGGTCTGTAGACACAGCCCAGGACAACTTGACATTTGAAAAAAAAAAAAGAACAAAATAAAACCTTAAGTTCTTATGTTTAATTTACTTGACTAGTAATACGCCTATTTTCTGTCATTATCTGTAGAGGAACATCCCACACTTACTTAACATCCCTCAGTTTCCATCTCAGAGGGAACAACTCTGATTGGTTTTTACCTGTAATTCTGGGGATGTTTTATGTATATCTATGTGTGTGTACGTGTATGTGTGTGTGTGTGTGTCTTTCTCTTTAAACATTTGGTCAGATACTAGACACATTTATGACACCTTGTATTTTGTTTTGCTTTACGTGGTAATGAACCTTGGTTATCATTTCCTATTATGATGTCCTGAGCTGCCTGATCATGGTCAGGCTGCCCTGCATGAGATTTGGGTCATATGCATTTAAGGCTGCCCTGCATGAGATTTCCTAGCTGTGCCATAATTCATCGTCCAGCATGCCAGCGACGGGCACAAATGTCTCCGTTTTATTTTTACCCCGACAACATAGCATGTCCGATATAGCATAGAACTGTCCATACCTCTCTAGGTATTGTGAGAGTCTTTAAGCCTCATAGATTTCCAGAAGGGGCAGGTGGGGTGTGCAAGTCCAGTTACAAACATCCTAACTGAGCTCCAAGCCTCGTTCCCGTGTATGCTCCAGGGGGGTCGAGAACGCCTCTTTCCTCCTCCCCGACATTGCATGCGGCTTCCTGGGGCTGTCCTGCAAGACTACCCCTCTGCCTGGTCTGACCTCCTATCTCCCAGAAACCGTTGCATACCCTTCCATTTCCAACATCCTGTCTTTGTGAAGCAGGATTTTCTGCAGCGACAGCCACCAAAATGAGATTATGGAGTAGACTGGGCATAAGCAACATTCTTCTGCTGTCACTGTCTCCTGTCACCAGCCCCAGCCTCCCACTCTCCTCTTTCCTGGCCAGTTATTACAAGATAATGTCTAACACCCAACACACATCTGCCATCTGACTGCACCTGCGTCTGTCTCTGCCTGACTTTGTGAGGCCTGGGACAATCGGTGTCCTAAGAAACCCAGCTCCTCTGGGTGTGCTAGAGCCTGTGTTGCCTCACCTGCTCAATGATGTGCCCAGGACTTATCCCATCATTTCTCCCTTGTCACTCCCACATTCTCCTCTGTACACACATGCTGTAATTTTGACCATTTTACAATGGAAACGTCTTGTCCTCACATTACCTTCCAGCACTGCCATGGCTTTTGTCCTTCTTAACAGCAAAACTCCTTGAAAGACTTTGTGCCATCTTCCCATCTCTTGTTTCTCTTCTCCATTTTCCTCTTGAAACTGTTCCGGCCAGGCACCTCTTTTCCCTGGAAACTCTTCTGCCCATGTCAAATATGACTCTTACCTTGCTAAGTTCAGTACTTAGAAAAAAATATGGCCAAGGTGCCCACTCTATAAATATTTTTGAATACATGAGTGCAAGAAATATTCAACGAGTGCATTTGTTAGTCACATGAATTGTTCAAGCACTTTGTTCGGTTGGTTTCCTCCGATGGCTCCATTCCTTAAGGCCCACGAAGTCACGGAAGTTCCTTCTGCACATCGCACAGTGTCATACACACAGATTGCATTTGAGCAGGTGGTCTCGTTGACTGAGCTAGTCGTGTGGACCTGTCGCAACCTGGTATTACCTCATCCACCCTGCCCCCTGGGTGACTGCATTTGTCCTCTGAGCCAGGGGTCTTGGAAGGGAGGCACACCTGTCTCATATAACAAGTGGCCAGGACGTGTATTTGGCAGAGCAAGAGGTTTAGAGGGTATTTGCTGCATAAGACCCTCCTCCTCTCCACTATAAAAGGAAACTGGTGGGAAAAGTAAAGTCCTTTCCTTCCACATGGGATTCTAGCTCCATGGTAAAACACATTTTATGTATAGGAAACTTTGCAAGAATTTTGCTTATAATCACGGAGACATGGCTGTGCGGTGGTTTTAGCTGGCATTTCTGCATGGAGACGTGGTATGGTGTTAATGGTCGAGGAACTGCATGGTCCATTGTGATGTGCACATTACTCCGACAATCAGCAGAGGCAGGTATAGGAGTCTGCATGGTCCATTGTGATGTGCACATTACTCCGACAATCAGCAGAGGCAGGTATAGGCGTCTGCATGGTCCATTGTGATGTGCACATTACTCCGACAATCAGCAGAGGCAGGTATAGGCGTCTGCATGGTCCATTGTGATGTGCACATTACTCCGACAATCAGCAGAGGCAGGTATAGGCGTCTGCATGGTCCATTGTGATGTGCACATTACTCCGACAATCAGCAGAGGCAGGTATAGGCGTCTGCTTGGCATTTGCAGGAAAAGTAGCCCACTGGCTGAAACAGTGTTCAGCAGCAGAGGATCTGGTTATGGTTCCCCACTCCCCCAACAGTTTATCATGATGTCAGTTTTGGAGCCGGTGAGGCCAGGTTGAATCCAAGGACGTGGATGTGTGGACCTGGTTCTTCTGCTTTCTTGTGGCATACATGGCTCTTCTTCTGTTACATGGGGACAAAATTACATGCTGCTCCAGGCAGTTAAATGAGAAAAAAATGCCTGGCCAAGAACCTAACATTGGGGATGATCAATACCTGTCAGTTTTCTGTTTGAGTCTTGGTTTCCTCACCTGTAAATAGAGATGTTCTGCATATTTACCAGTGCATCACAAAGCTTCCACTTTTTGTATTGCGTCTTGGGACACGAGAAGACTCTGGTGATGCTCCTAGTGATGCTCGCTACCTTCTGCCTGGATGCAGCTTAGCCAGGTTTGAATGTTCATTGCATACCCTTTTTATCGGTTATTACTGCAGCCCACATATAGGTTTGCTAATTGCTCTTTCAGAGAACTCTGAACCCTTTCTTCTCCAGCCTCGTACAGCCACTTCACCCCTGTCCTGCAGACCTCCACCACCAACCTCTGCAAAGTCTTCCCTCTCTTGCCTGCCTGTTGGAATCAAGGCCAGTGTCAATTGTTCTGGGTTTTCATTTTCACAGCACCCATTGAAAATACCAAATTATTTTCCACTTATCTATTGTTACCCACAAGCCACTCCAAAACCCAGTGGTTTAAAACAGCTGTTTATTGTTACCACCAGTGGTTCTTTGGGTGGACTGGGCTCAGCAGGGTGGTTTTTGCTGAGGGCTCCGGTGGTTGCAGTCAGATGGCAGCTGGAGGTGGAGCAACCTGATGTCGTGGTTTTGCATCCACGACAGCTTCTCTCAGACAAGTGATCCTAGCCATTACTCAAAGCACAGCCTCCTGGAAGAGCTTGTTCTTCTCACACCATGGCTTCTGGCTTCCAAAAGGAATTATTCCTAGACCAATCTTTCCAAGAGGGAGGGGCTTCTAGAAGGTTAGTGGCAAAGTTACTTCTACCATCTTCTAAGTCACCAAATCAGTGTAGGACTCCCACAGGCTAAAGGAGATTAAAAAAAATGAACTCTAAATCTTGATGGATGTCTAGAAAGATCATATTACACATGAGAATGTGGGTTAGAAAATGAGTTTCATTGTATGTGTAGAGTACAGTCTGCTGTGGGGGAAGAATAATGGCAGATACATGCTGATTTGTTGCTGTGAGGATTCTGTGCCCAGGACTTGGGCTCAGTGAGTCCTCAGGAATTATCAGCTACTATTGATGCTATTGCCTACCTTTGCCTCATTTTGGAACTGAGTATTATGAATGCTTTTGGACCCTAGAAGAGAGCTGTAGCTGTTAGTGACTTCGGCTTTAAGACCACTGCCCCTCAGCCCTAAACCGTACACAGGTAGGCTCTTCATAAACCCAAACAACATTTATTGAGTAATGATAAGAAAACCATAAAGCCTCCATTCCAGTTAGGAAAACATTATAAAAATGAACATCAGTGATTTCTCATAAGGAAAATTGCTATGAAGAAAAATCTAACAGGGAACTGGAGATTAAGAGGCTAGGTGGTCAGCAAGGACTTTCATGAGAATGCACCTCTGAGGTCAGCTCAAGGTGACTAGATGAGAGGAAAAGGCGGCCAGGTGTAAGATCTAAGAACAAGATCTCATAAAAGTTCTGGGGATGAGATTCAGGCAGCAGAAAACAGAAACAAAAAATATTCATTACAGTATGGGAAAGAACAAAATATTCTCCAATAGGGAACAAAAATAAAACCCTGTTTATATAGTAGAATGTTCTGTGGTTACAAAGAAAAAAAAAACAAAAAGAAAAAGAAAAATGTGCCAACAGAAAACCTTGCAGTGATGTAATAGTGCATACAGTGTGAATAAATTTAGTAAAAAATTGCTCTCTGTCACACACACAACATATGCACAGGATTGTGCTTTTATATGTTTTCTATATTTATTTTTTAAATAAGTTTTTTTTTGTAGACTATCACGTAAAATCAGTGGGTCAGTCAATTGTTACTTTTAAAAAAAAATCATCCTTTTCCATGTTTCTTGCCCACTGCCCAGTACTGAGAAGATAATTGGCATCTGGTTTAAGAAACATGTGGAGCCACTAAGAGGTGAATTGTCCAGCTGGTGGACCTTTGTCTGGGCATTAGAATAAGGTCTGATGTCCCATATTTGCTGTATTTGTCTTTATCTTGGAGGTTAATGTAAACCATGTATGCAAGTATTAATGAGGTTATTTCCAGTACATATGCTACTGAAAGGTATGCTGCTTTAGTGTGCTAACCATGTGACTAGTTCTAGGTAAAGCAATGGAAAAGGTAGCAACAGAGACATGCAATTTAAAATGTCCCATATTACAAAGCATGACAAATCAGAGTGAATGCTTTCTATGTGGAGATATATTTTATAATTACATGGTTAAACTAAATGTAGAACTGATGATGTGCACAAATGTTTAGCTAAAAAAAAGATACATCTAAAATAAGTCAGATAAAATGTGAACTTTTACATCAGCGTGAAACCTTCATCACTTTGCTTTCCTGTGGATTTTCTTAGATCCTCCACAAACTGTTTTTTTTTTTTTTTATGAAAAGGGGTCATGATGAAGAATAATCCAGGCATTGCAGTAGGATAGTAGGCTTATGAGTTTGTTCTCACACTGCTGTAAATGTACTCTCTGAGTAATTTATAAAGAAGGGAGGTTTAACTGACTCACAGTTCCACATGTCTGGGAGGCCTCAGGAAACTTCCAATCATGGTGGAAGGCAAAGGGAAAGCAAGGCATGTCTTCTATGGTGGAAGAGAGAGTGCCACACTTTAAAACCATTAGTTCTCCTGAGAACTCACTCACTATCATAAGAATAGCATCAGGGAAACTGTGCCATAATCTAATCACCTCCCTCCAGGTGCCTCCGAGGCATAGGGGGATTACAATTTGAGATGAGTTTTGGGTGGAAACACAGAGCCAAGTCGTTTCAGTAGGTAATGTTAACTCTGTAGCATAAGATGATGGGGAAGAAATGATGTTTGATATATTTAATGGCTAAGTATTATAAAATGACTATACGTAGCTTGGAAAATACAGAAACAGTCAAAAAAGAAATTCCAGATAGTCTGCCTCACAAAACCTAGAGGCAAGTGTTGCTGGGGACAGAGTACTTACTCCAGTTGTTTATTTATTTTTTCTTTTCTGAGACAGGGCCTCAGTGGGTTACCCAGGCTGCAGTGCAGTGGTGCAACCACGGCTCAGTGCAGCCTCCATCTCCCAGGCTCAAGCAATCCTCTCACCTCAGCATCCCACGTAGCTGAGGTTACAGGCAGGGGACACCATTCCCGGCCTCCCCAGCTATTATAATACATTGGCTCCTCCAGTTGCACAATTGCCTTCATAATGAGTGATGTGTAATGAGCATCGCTAAACCCACCAAATAATCTTCCACAACTTTACCAATGGAGAAGCATCCCCTTTTCTGTTTATGTCATGATTCATTCATTATCTTCCTTCTCTGGGACTTGTAGGCAACTGCTTTAAATGGAGTTGGTGAAAGGACCACGTTTGGGTTGTTGGCCAGTGTGTTTGCATTGGTCATTGTGATTCTGTGCAGCTCTCCGAGTTGGCCCTATTTCCATACACAGATGCAGGAAGGAAATCGGCCACAGAACAACAAAACGAAGAAGAATTCTTTGTAATCTTTTGAGATTCAGAGTTGCATTTTGAAGTTCTCAGGAGAGCTGTAGATAAAAAGGACCATTGAGTCTCAAAACCTCAAAATCTTATTTTTTTAATTGTCACTATCACAGTTTTTGTCATAAACAAACAAACAAACAAAAAAACACAAAAATTTGGGCCAAATGCCTGATATAGCTGACCATCAGTTTTTTCCATCCTAGGGCTAAATTAATTAGGAGTTGATTAGAAAAAAGAAATAAATTTTAGAGGAAAATGTAGTATGCCTGAGGAAAAGTGAGTTGGGATGGTAATTCCAAACTAGGAAAACCACAAATTGATTCAGACATTTCTGAATTAATTAAGATTAAAATCTGCAAGATCAGGGGAATGGGAGTTAATGTACACATTATATTCAGTATAAAAATTATGTTTTGCATACTTGAGTTTGTAACTTGAAAGACTCATATGCGTTTAAAAATCATTTCACATCTCTGTAGTTACTACATTACAATAATAAGTTCTTAGTTCTTAATGGTCAAATAATCTAATTAAGTGCACAAATATTTGAATAGAGAATCACACACATGTATATAACAAATTCAGTCTACTCAAAGATGTGTAAGCAGAGACACACATACACTCACACACACATGCACACGTGTGCACACACACACTCCTTGCAGTGGAGTTAATACTCTAATTTCTAGTTTATTTTTCACTGCCCATATTTTACTATAAACAGGATGAAATCAGAGACTCGATTTCTCTTGCTGAATTTGAAGCCTATTGTCAAACCAGTGATTGGCAAACAATAGGTATTCACTAAATGCTATACATTAATAAATCAATTAATCGATTATTATTATATATCTTTATCTATTATGAAGAACAAACCATTTCTTCATGCCAGTTTCTGGATGTGATTGGGTAGGCAAACAAGAATTATAGTAAAATAAAATACAAATTATTTTATGAATCAGGTAGATCATGGTGGTTTTTTTTTAATCAAAAAATAATATCCTAATATATCCTACAATTTAGGGGTCAAATTAGTTGCATTTCACTTTTTGTACATATTAATCTAATAATATTCCTAATTCAATGTATTAACGTATTATACATGTATTAATGCCATTTTTATGCTTCATGAGACTTGATAATCTTTTTTTTTTTTTTTTGAGGTGGAGTCTTGCTCTATTACCCAGGCTGGAGTGCAGTGGCATGATTTCGGCTCACTGCAGCTTCCGCTTCCCAGGTTCAAGCGATTCTCCTGCCTCAGCCTCCTGAATAGCTGGGATTACAGGTGCCCGCCATCACGCCAGGCTAATTTTGTATTTTTAGTAAAGATAGAGTTTCACCATGTTGGCCAGCCTGGTCTTGAACTCCTGACCTTGAGATTCACCCACCTGGCCCTTCCAAAGTGCTGGGATTACAGGCGTGAGCCAGCTTGCCTGGCCAAGGCTTGATCATCTTTGAAGGTAGTTAAATTTCATGAGCAGGGGTTGGTTGGCTTCCTGAGGCTGCAGTTCCTCTGCCATCTTTCTGGAGTCTCCTAAGTGTGTGTTATGCTAAAATCAGGGCAGGTTCGATGTGCTCACTTCCTCAAGCTTCTTCTTTTGAATGGTGACTGAATTCAATGGTCAGTTTATCGGTGTATTAAACCATGATATGGAGACAGTATCTGTTCAACTTTTCAGCCATGCTTCAGTTCTTCCCAGCACTCTGATGCCTCTTATAAATATAAATGCAGACGAAAAGAGAAGTAAGCTCAGAGTGGAATTTTCTCTCTAGGAAGCAATTCAATCTCCGATCACTTACCCCAGAGTGAGAAAAACATCTGAAATTTATAGGACGTCTTTTGAAATGACCCTCCCCTCCTCTCCTGCACTGGGTGAGTTTCTAAACATCCTCTTCCCTTTTAAACATTTCCGTCTTTATACTGTATGCCCTGTACTGCTCCTTTGTGGAAGGAATATGGCTAAAAGACAGCATGTTTTTCCAGCAGGTTTGCATCAGGTGGGGCTGTTCTTATCACTGGAAATAAATTGGCCAATCCTATTGGGTGGGATTTGTGTTAATATGAGCCCCACCAGATGGATGAAGCAGATTTGTTTATCCCAAGCAGAGGACGATTGCTCTTCTCTCTTTTTTAACTGGATTTGGCCTTGTGCTCTTATAAGCCAGAGGGGCACATTAATCCATAATACTCTAATCTCACAGCCCTGTTTTAAGCCTAGAAAGTCTATGTATTTGTGATTTTGTTTCATTTCAAGTAACAAGATCATGAATAAAAACAACAAGCATAGCCCTTCTGTTCTGGAGGGTGGCTGACATATCACATCTCTGGGAGACTCCTGGCAGCTGTGCTCTGTCTTTTTGGTGAATTCACAGACTCCTTCCTCAGGACAAATATTTTGGAGCACAGTTAAATGGATGCATCTGTAATCAATTGCTTGTCATATTAAAGATTTTATTGTTGAAACAAGCCCATCTAATTCTTCATATAAATGTTTCTGTGTGTGTATTTGAAATAATCCTGCTGGGTTCGAGTATTATATAAGGAGAGGCTGACATGCATAGAACTATCTATTTCCTGAAGCCATGATTGCATTTTTGTGGGGCTGAAGAGTACAGGCTGTGCTTCTACAGCAAGTGCACTTATATGAGCTCATAGATATAGTAAGTTTGAGGTAAGGCAGACACTGTGAGGTATAACTGAAATGATTTCGCCTGGCCAGCAAGTGAAGATATAATAACTCTCTTTGAGGCTGACACCTATAAAAAGCTGCTGCAATGGGGAAAAAAGAAAAAACAAGCAACAACAACAAAAAGCCTGGTACACAAGGGCAGGATCACATGTCTGTCCTGTCTACATGTGTGAGTGTGAGAAATCCCTGAGTGCTATAGGAAAGTTTTCTCCAGCCTATTATTTTTAAACTCACATGTCTACTACCACCTTAGTTTTGCTACTTTCACATAAACGTTTGATCACCCACAAGAGTTTGCAGAGTTGGAAAGAGGAACCCATTAAACTATTAGAAAAAAAATCAACTCTGAAATAAATAGGAGACATAGACATTTGGCTATTTGAGATTAGCTAACTGCATCTTTTTAGGCTTCACTTATTAGTCCTCAGCATATTATCCTCAAAATGAGGTGCTTGGGCGGGGCAGCAAGGCCTCTGCATGGCCTTGATGATGCCTCACTCTGGAATTCATGCCCTTCTGCAACCCCTCCCTTCAAGTCGGATCTGTGCCTGCTCCTGACAAGTATGGCAAAGGTGATAGTTTATTTAAGATTGCAACACATAAAATTGCAGTTTCCATGCTGCTAGCAACCCTCTTTACTGCCTTCTCACCTTACATCCTCTTTGGGGATGGCCTCCAGCCAAGAGCCGCTAGGAATTAAGGCCCTCAGTTCCCAGCCTGCAGCAGCTGCATCCTGCCAACAACCAATCTGCTTATCCACAGGTCCATCCCCAGGCAAACCTTCAGATGAGACCTCAGCCCTGGTCTACATCTTACCACAGCTGTGAAGAACCCTGGGTCCATCTCAGCTGTGCCTGGATTTCTGACCCACACAAATTCCAGCATAATAAATGCATGTTTTTAACTTTATATTTACAGGCTGTCCAATCTCTCATTTTAACTATTCTTTATTTCTAAGGCATACAATCCAGAAACACAGGGTCTGGAGCTATGATACTTGCATTTGAATCTTACCTCCCCCAGTTACTAGCTAGCTTGCCTTGGGTTTATTACTTAATCTGTGTTTTGTCTTAATTTTCTCTTCTTTATGATAGTATAATGTTTGCCTTAGGGTATCATTGTGAAGATAAATTGTTGTTAAGATAAATGAGTAAAATGCTCAGAAAAGTTCCTGGCACAATAAAATTTAAAAGTGAATGACCTGTGATCAGGATTATGCATCAAGATGTGAGAAAATCCTTCCTAAGGATGTTAAATATAAATTCACAAGACTCGGGCACTTTGGAGCAGAGGCCAGGTGGATGGGAAGAAGTGGGCACTTCGGAGCAGAGTCCAGGCAGATGGGGGGAAGCGGGTGCTTCGGAGCAGAGGCAGGCAGATAGGGTTCATGCAGGTGCAGGATTCTTCACTTGCCTGCAAAGGGGATTGCTGTCAGAAGCACCCATGCCTCTTGCCTTCA